>NC_000002.12:16752179-16903694 GCF_000001405.40 Homo sapiens
TCCCCTGCATTCAAGGGGTTCTGGGTCTGTAAACTTGCTCAAGTCTGGCAATTGATTAAGAGGCCATGATTCTCTGTTTTTATAATTCAAATTATTCTTTGTCCATTTGACCTAGAAGTGTTCTGCTAGTAAAAATTAAATGGGAATGCAGTAGGCATCTTCTCAATTTCACTTCTAGGAGCAGCACCCTGATTAATTAGCCAATGCCAGAGTTCTACACAAGTTGGACTATTCTGATTGTCACTTTGCCTCTGGTGATCATTACAGTACTTATGCCCACCTTTGCCTTTGATGGTTGAGTGCTGCCACTTGGCCCTTGCAATCTCAGGATCCAATTATTCTCACTGTATTTAATTTTTTTAGTTGAGTGACTGAGGTTCCCACCGTTAGATCTGACATATACAGAAGAGCAATTACAGGGCTCTTCAAAGATGCAGGTGCTGCCCTCACAAATTATATTTCACAAGGCATTGGTCAAGGGTATATCTTCTGGACCCCCCCAGCTGGGATGAGTAGCTCTAAAGTGACTAATCCACTCCACCATCTCAATTTTCCTCAGCCTTTGGATCCCTTCCTCTACATTAAACCAAGGGAGATCAGAGATTTCCATCTCACTCACAGTGGGCCATCTTTTAATCCATATTTCAATTAATCAAGCACATAAACTATCAGAACCTTTTTTAACTCCCTGAGATGTAACATTAAATGCAGAGTCCCTTCTTAATGGGCCCAAATTAATAAATTCAGCCTGATCCAACTCTATATTCCTTCCACCATTATCCCACACCCTTAATATCCATTCCCATGTCTGTTCTCCTGATTTCTACTTATATAAATTAGAAAACTCAAGCAATTCTTTTCAAGTGTAGTGCACTTCCTCATGGGTCACACTCTCAACCTCACCTCAAAGGGCCTACCAGGACTTTAGTCTAGCTATAGATCTAGAAGCAAACAGGGGTGGTGGGGGTGGCTCCTGAGGAGAGTCAACATTATCTTACCTGGCAACTGCCTCAGGGGAGGCCATCACTGTTGCCTCAGGCAGCACAGGCTTTATCTCCTCAGACAAAGGTGGAAAGATTGATGGGTAGGGGAGGGGATGTTGCCACTACTGGGGATGGGGAAGCTGTTCCTTCCGGCAAAAAGGGTTCATCAGAGTTTACAAACTCAGTGTCCCCAGCTTCATCAGGGTCCTCCCACACATCCCCATTCCAACTTTCAGGGTCCTATTATTTTCCAGTCAATGCCCTCACTTTAACAGTAGACACCTGGGGAGGTGGAACATGCACCTTTTGTTGCAGGTCAGCCACTCACATGATTAGAGCTTGTGTCTGTTTTCCCACAATTTCAGCTTTTTCTCTATAGGAGATAAGACTCTCAGTCAGAGCAATCTTTGCAGATTTGAGGCTCAGTATTTGCTTCTGAAGCCGGGAGACAGAATCCCTGAGTTCCTCATTTTCTTTCATCACTTTGTCCGCTGAACTTAGGAGCAACCAACCAGCTTCATTTTGTTCCTTGGTTCTCCACATATGGTCAAATGTATTATGTACAGAGTCACTAAACTCCTTGTCTCTCATGAGCGATGAATCAGGAGTGTCAAATGCATTTATTTTGCATAACTCTCTAAACAGTTCAAGCCAAGGACTATCAGTGTTCTCCATACTATTAGAAGTAGAGTCCTTACCATTTTGGGATCTAATCATATTAAGTAGCCAACTCCAGAAACCCCAAAACCAATGAAAGAACTCTATCCTTAATATTCTGTTCCTCTAGAACTACTCCTGGTACAAAATCTGTATTAGTCAGGGTTCTCTAGAGGGATAGGACTAATCTAATGGAATATATATATATAAGTTGATTAAGTATTAACTCACACGATCACAAGGTCCCACAAAAGGCCATCATCTGCAGGTTGAAGAGCAAGGAGAGCCAGTATGAGTTCCAAAACTGAAGAACTTGGAGTCTGATGTTCAAGGGCAGGAAACAGCCAGCACAAGAGAAAGATGTAGGCTGGGAAGCTAGGTCAGTCTCTCTTTTCATATATTTCTGCCTTCTCGTATTCCATCCATGCTGGCAGTTGATTAGATTGTGCCCACCCAGATTAAGGGTGGGTCTGCCTTTCCCAGCCCACTGACTCAAATGTTAATATCCTTTGGCAACACCCTCACAGATACACCCAGGACCAATACTTTGTGTCCTTCAATCCAATCAAGTTGACACTCAGTATTAACCACTGCAAATGGTGCTCCCCATAAAAGATGTACATCTGAACCTGCACATGAGACTTTATTTAGAAAAAAGGTCATTGCCATTGTGATTATGTTAAAGATCTCAAGATGAGATCATCCTGGATTAGGGTGGGCCCTAAATCCAGTGCCAAGTGTTCTTACAAACAAGAGGAGAGAAGGCCATACGCAGATGGAGGCAGAGCTCCTTTCTGGTAAGACTGAGTGTTGGTGCTAAACTTGTTAGTATGACAGTGAAGGTCCTCCAGGATCCTGACTCTGCCTAAAATTTCAGGTGTGATTGCCACCTCACCTCCTCTTTCATCCTCATGCCCTGAGTGAAGAATCCCACAGTTTTCAGACAGTAGACTCTTCCCCATGTCCCTGTCATTGCACCTACTGTTTCCTCTGACTGCTGTGTCTTGCCTGGAGTCCCCCCTCATCCTTCAAAGTGGGGCCTGCAGGGCATCGCTTCTGTGGTGCACCTGCTGTCTGTCTGCACACTTTCCCTCCTGGGCTGTGGATGCTTTGAGGGCAGGGGCTGATTGTTTTCTAGTTTGAATCTTCTGTCCTCACCCCAACAACCTTACTGAACCTACTGGTAAAAATACTCTCAATGGAATCAGAGAATCCTACTGTAGCTGGAAGGAACTTCAAGACCATCCTGTTAACCCCCTTCATTTATAGTGGTGGAGAGTGGGAATAAAAGTCCTGAGGCTAAGATAATTTAAGTCACTGGTTGTCATTTGCATCGCTGGTTGGCAATATTTTTGGGACTATCAGCCAATAGTCTTCACTTCCAGGTCATCACAGGGATCCTCACAGGGTTCAAACTAGCTCCTTAATCAGGCCTTTCAAAGAATATAATCTCCTGTTCCTGTCATGTCATTTTGGGGAAATTTTCTCAGTAGCATTTTGTCCACAGACACCCCTGGGATCCTACATCCTACCAAGAACAGAGCCCTGTGTTCAGGGCCAGGCTCAGCCCTTTGTCCCTTCCTGAGCTGTGGACATGGCCACACGTGATGGAGCTGCAGAGAGAGGTGGGCATTGCAATCCTGTTCTTAGATAGGAACTGCCTTCTCTCCCGGGAGAACTCTGCTAGTTGGAGGAGCCGCTGTGGCCTATGCAATGGTCTTGTAAAGAGTTCAGGGCCCAGATGGATCCAGCAGATGCAGAGTGATGGGACTTGGAAGGAGCCCTTCTTAAGTGTCCAGCGGCTGGCTTGTCTCCCTGAGTCCGAGCTGTGTCTTTGGTTAGAGTGAGTGTGGGTGGGGAGAGGGGGCGATCTACACCGCTTGGAGAATTGATGCAAACAGTAAGTAAAAACAACTGTGAAGGGAAACTGGTCCCACGACCCACACTGCTTCATAATCACATTTTTTTCGGCCTTTTGATTCTGGCTTCATCTCATCTGTTTGTTTTGGATGCTTCGTTGAAGCCAGCTACTCCTGAGAAATAGGAAATGACACTATGCAAACAGCTGAAGATGGGACAATCCCGAGTCATATTAAACATGGGATTTTCAAACAATTTCAACAGAAAAAAATCAGTGAACAAAGAAATAGGAAGACAAGATCTTCAAATATCCTCCACTGTTAGCCAGTGAAAATACAAACTGATTTACACATAAATTACATCTTGAGGATGTCTCTCCTGTGGATTTACGAAAAAAATAATTGTCACCACCAATGGGGCTTATTTTTCCTCTGTTGATATTGTTGCCAGGCGGTGATCCTCATTTGCTGCCTCCTTTCTATCCTGTGGCCACGGCCCTAAGTCAGGCTGCATCGACTTCCGGCAAAGCTCCTACCTGTGAGTCTGGCTCTGGTCTGATCCCATGCAGCCTCCCAACCCATCTCTGCATCAGGGTGCAGCCATGCCACTCTCCTAAGCTGTTTGATCCCTTCCTTCTCCAGCTGAAAGCCCCATGATGACCAGATAACTATCATTGCTCTGGGATAATGCAGAGCTACGGACCACTCCATACACCGGGTCTATGTGCTTCCTACCTCCCCGGCTCCTCCCTGCCTCTGTGGTATCTAACTCTTCTTTTAAAATCTAAGTCCCAGCTACCCCAATACATGTTCAGCCCTCCAAACCCCGACTCTCTCATGGCCATGCCTTTTTCCCACTGCCCTCCTACATGGATAGAGCCCTCATCCTCCTAGTGTCCTCCTGCAATGCTTGGCTCACGTGTCAGTTGTTATATGAGTCTTCCTGACCGGCCCGAGTCTCTGTGGGAATTAGGTTGAGCCACTCCAGCCTCGGTGGACCCTCCTTAGACTGTCCTGTCACCTGTAGAGCCCTGTCACCCCTTTTTATGGACCTGTCTACCTGCTGGTCAGAGAATTCCAGAAGGCGGCATCAGCTCTGCCTGAGGCACAGGACACCTGGCACAGATGAAGGGTTAAGTGGATATTTGTTGAATTTGTCAGAGAGCGAGAACAAATCTCAAGTGCGATGGTCCCTGCTCATTCCTCTCTCCAGCCCCTGCCTGCATGTGCCTCTTGTAGAGACAGCTGCAGGGCCCGCAGGCCAGAGCCCCTGGGTCAGAGCAACAACTGCCTTGTGTTTTCTCCAAAAATGAAGATTGCAAAATCCTCGTGGCCTCGAGTTCACAGCTGTGGAAAGAAACTTCACGAGGTGACGGTGGGGTCAAGGGGCCCGGGTGGGGACGTGGGGACCACAGGGCAGGAATGAGCACCCACGGAGAAATGCAGTCCCGACCCCTTCCACCCCTTCAGGTCTGGCTGTATAAACTCGGAGAGGAGGCTGCTCTTCTCAGCTTTTCCCACGTTTCAGTTTTCTCTACATCTGGTTATGTAGCAATGCCTTCTCATCCCCTGAGAGCTAGCACCCCAACATATTTACTGAACATCGGTCTGGGTTATTTGCGTGTCATCAAGCTCCAAGGGCATTCAAATGACCTTCTGGAGGATGCACAGTGCCTTGGGGAACGGCGCCACCTGGTGGTCACTCGGAGTTAATAACCACATTCTAGGGCGAGGAAGCCTAGAGCATACTGGAGGGACCAGGTGGAGGCTCAGATTAAACAATTCCTGCTGCCGCTGACACATCTGTTCCATGGTGACAGAGCTGAGTGTGTGTCCCTGGCTAGAGGCAGTGATTGGACAAGGATGGTCAAAATGTATCCTTCTGGAATCTGAGCGCTGAAGGGTGGTTTAGAGACCAATACAATCCCAACCATTCATTTCTCAGATGGGCAAACTGCAGTCCAGAGGGGACAGAGGTTACCTAAGGTCTTTCAATAAATTAGTTGAAGAGATGGGGCAATAACACAGGTTTCTGGGCTCCTTGTCTGATACTCCTCCATTCTAGCACTTCAGAGCACCTCACGGTGATGTCCGTCCTTTATTTTATTTTATTTTTTAATTTGAATTGCTGCTTTAGACGAAAAAGAAGGCCAACCCCCCGCTGCCATAAACATCTTCTTTCTCTTTCCTAAATTCATATCACTTGGTCCCGACACCAGTCTTCCTTCCTCCAGGAAGTTTTCCCTGAGCAGTTGGAAATCCTCCTTCGGAAGCTCCCAGGCAATCTACCCGATACTGATAGAGGGACCGAAGTTGACTCTGGGATATGGTGTGCACAGACACAGCCTTGCCCCCAGCAGCTTACAGTCTAGTGGGGAGAGACAAGTGACAAACACACAGACAGACAGATAGATGCAGAAATGATGGATGGATAATTTCAGGTACTAACGAGGGCTTTGAAGATGATAAATAGGGCACTGTGATAAAGAATGGCTTGGAACGGAGCTATGTCAGCTAGAGGGAACGGGAGGCTGGTCTGAAGAGGGCTTAGCTGTGGAGGACAGGCAGAAGGTGGTTATTATGAGGGGAGAGCACTCCAAACAAGAAGAACAGTAAGTGCAAAGGACCCAAGACTGGAATGAGGTTGGCAGGTCCAAGACACAGAGAAGGCTGGAGAGATAGCCGGCTAGCGGACAAGACAGAAGTCGAAGATGATGGGATCAGAAAAGACAGGGAAGGCTGGATCTGGAAGGACTAGTTGGGTTTGTATGCTGCTTGCAATGGGAGGTCATCAGTAGGCGTAGGCGGAGAGTGGCATGATCTTATGTATACCTTAAGTGGTTCGCATGTGCACTAATGCTTAGGAACTCCTGATGTAATCCCTCGGCTCCTGCAGAAAGTCTTTTCTCACCCACCAAGTTAAGGAAGGTGTCCTTCATCCGACTCCTTGAGTTAACATCTTCATGCCTCCATCGCTGGGCCTACCACCTTGCTTTCGAATCAACTGTTTATATGTCTTTTTACTTCACTGGAAAGTAAGTCCAATATTCAGAGACACAGCAGTACAAAGTCAAGATCCAGAACAGACTGTTGAGATGCAAAAACTCGCTCTACCACTTCGTAGCAGTGTGGCTTTGGACAACTTATTCATTCAGCGTGTCTTTGCTTCACTTTCTTTATCCGAAAAATGGGGCTAACAGTATCTCCTGCATTGGACCGTTATTACAGTTAAATAATATATGAAAAAAATCTCATAAAAATGGCAGGCACTATGTAATTATAAATAATAGATATCATTTCTGGGTGTTTTCTCAGGCCTCCCATTAATAAGGTTGGTCCCAGAGTCTGTCAGGGCCTCTGGCTGTGGTGTGCATTGCTCATTGAATGGGGATATGGGACTACACAGGGAAGATTATTCCGGGATACAGTTTCTGGCCTTGGAAGAAAGAGTTGGCCTGCCAACAAATGTAAGAGGCAGGGATTGTTCTTAGCTTCATTTTATAGGCAAGCTCAGAAAGGGTAGTTTGCAAAGTGACCCAGGTATTAAGTATTAAATCCAGGATGCAAATATAGGTCTGTTTCACTCAACATCCAAGGTTGTTCTTTCTAGTTTTGTTTGTTTTAATTTGATTTTAACCCCACAGCACCATGCATGGGTAACAGCTGGCCTTAGAGCAAATGTATTGCCCTAAACGATCATACTGGTGTCCGAAATCCTGCCATCAGCCATCTGCCTTGTCCATATGAGGCCCAGCTTTCTGGTAGGGGACTAGGCTCTTGGGTGCAAAGGTGTGAGTTTTAAGCTCTAGGTGACAACACGATAAATATGGAACTACAATGTCTTTCTCAGACCCTGACCCCAAAATGGAGGTAACGATCCCCATTACCTTCCAAAGGGCTAAGCCCACAGAAGCTATTAATGGTGTTCAAGCAGATTCTGGTGGCTACTCTCAGATCAGAAGAGGACCTGGGTACGCTAGCCTTTAAATTTTGAATGTGATGAGGATAAACAGCAATAAAATGAAAGTGGCATTTGAAAAAGAAATATTTTCAGAAACAGATTGAAGACTGAAATTTGCATTGTAGTTGTGTCTATCAAGCTTTCCCTTATCGTGTTTAAATTAGAACTTGCTTATACTTTTTGAATTTATAATTTGCCCTCTTTCAAAATTGCAAGGATACAAACATAGGCAGGCTTGTGCTGGGAAGTAGCAGGGCCTGGTGGTCAAGAAGAGCACAGGACCCGGAGCTTAGAGGACTGGCTTTGATCCCCAGACTTCCATTCATAGATCTGGGACCTATATGAGTTCTTCAACTCTCTTTGCCCAATTCCTCTTTGTAAGATGAGAGTGACAGTGGTACCTGCCTCCTGGTGACTGGCACTGCTTAGAAGAACACTTGGCCCATAATTTTGTTAGCGGTTATTGTTACTGTTGCTATTATTGCTCTAAAAAGTAATTTGAAGGCTGGGCGTGGTGGCTCATGCCTGTAATCCCAGGACTTTGGGAGGCCTAGGTGGGCGGATCACGAGGTCAGGAGTTCGAGACCAGCCTGGCCAACATAGTGAAACTCCGTCTCTACTAAAAACACAAAAACTAGCAGGGCGTGGTGGCGCGCACCTGTAATCCCAGCTACTGTGGAGGCTGAGGCAGGAGAATCGCTTGAAACCAGGAGGCAGAGATTGCTATGAGCCCAGATCACGCAACTGCACTCCAGCCTGGGTGACACAGCGAGACTTTGTCTCAAAAAGACAAACAAACAAACAAACAAAACAAACAACAAACAAAAACGTGATTTGAAATCTTACTAAGAAAGAAAAGAACATTACACCAGGGCTAGTGACAAAAGAATTCTTGAAATAAAGTTCCACATTTGGTTTTATGTAAAAACAGAACCCACATGTAAAACCAAGCAAAGCAAAGGAGAAGTACAGTACTTTACAAGGTTGTTATGATAAAGCACAATCTAGTTCGCTGGAAGAGTTGACTGCTGTCACAACAAAGTGACCTTGAAATTCCAGAAGTAAAGCGTCTGCCTTCAGCTGTCCTTGCCCATGTTGCTTCTGATTTTTCATTATTTGGGTTGGTGTCTTTCCCTTCAAAATCCAGCACAAGGCTGCCCCATCTCCCTGCCTCCAGTGCCATGGTCCCGCCACTGTCCCCCCTCCCCGGGATTGCTTCCCTGAGCCTCAGTCTCCTAGGTGGTCTCCCTGTTTCCACACTTGCCCCTCCGCAGTTTCTTCTCCACCCAGGAGATGAGTAAACGCCCAGGTCCTTCCAGGTCGCTAGAGCCCTGTGAGATGTGACTCTGGGCACTTCTCTGATTTCTCACATCTCCTTCCTCACTGCATTCCCACCATCCTGTGCCCTCAGTAAGGCTTATGAACCTCTGCAAACAAGTGGGTCCAAGGGCTTCCTGGGAGCTGTAATAATTTGCTCCTTCCCTTTCCCTTTCCTAACATTTCCTCTTGTTTTCTTCTCTTCTCTCTCTGTGGTTTTTATTCCTCAGTTACTAAATTACTGATTGTGTTTCTCAACCAAAGTGGAGTTCGGTTCTCTTGGTATAGCAAATGGACACACCCATTCCCCTCTGAATTAAAAGCACATTTCATAGACACGATTCAGAGGGACCCTTACAGAAAGGTTAAAGCTTGTTAAAAATAGTTTCTAAACAAGTCAGTTATGAGCTTTATATTTTTATTTCAATGAATTTGCTGCAAGAGTAGAAAATTCTTAGTCCTACAAAAGTTTATTAGAAAATTACTCAACAATTTTGTCAGAAATTCTAATTTCTTCCAAGAAGAAAGATACAAATAACTTTATATAAAAACATTCTTTCCCAGAAAGTAAATCAGTATATCAAAGGAATACCTGCACTCCCATATTTACTGTAGCACTGTTCACAATAGCAAAGATATGGAATCAACCTACACATCCATCAACAGATGGTAGATAAAGAAAAATGTGATATATATATGTATATGTGTGTATATACATATATAATCACATCTTCACAGTGTATATGTGTGTGTGTGTGTATATATATATATATGTATACATACACACACACGCACACACACACACACTGGAATATTTTCTGGCCATAAAGAAGAATGAAATGTCATTTGCAGCAACATGGATAGAACCATAGGGTATTATGTTAAGTAAAAGAAGCCAGGCACAGAAAGACAAATATCACCCGTTCTCACTCAGATATGAGAACTAAAAAATTGGGCCTCACAGAGGTAAAGAATAGAATAATAGGTACCAGAGGCTGGGAAGGAAGTTTGGGTTGGGGAAGGAGATGAAGAAAGGCTGGTTAGTGGGTACAGACGTAGTTAGATGGAAGGAATTAGTTCGAACGATAGATAGCACAGTAGGGTGATGATCGTTAACATGATATTGTATATTTCAAAGTAGCTAGAAGAGAGGACTGGAAAAGTTTCCAACACATAGAAATGATAAACACTCAAGATGATGCCCCAACTTAATCATCACACATTCTATGCATGTAACAAAATATCATATATGCCCCATCAATACATGCAAATATTATGTAACAATAAAAAAAGTTCCTTCCCAGACCAGGTTTGGTATAATTTTTCCTACTCAATGGTTTGGCAAGCACAGTTTAGATGGAATTTTACCAAAGCCCTGCTTTTCACCATGTGACCAAGTTCCCAGACTGAAAGGGTCGGCACTGAATGAGATGTTACTTTATTCATGATTTGTGCCTAGGGCAGCCATGCAGGACCCAAAGGGATTTAGATAGATGCCCCAAAGCTAGATAAGATAGATAGATTCACCAAAGCTCTGGCAGGGCAGAGAGGAGCAGACATCTGCCTCCAGGCCCAGTGAGAGAGGGTACCATCGTGTTACACATAATCGTTTCGGAGTGAAGTTCATCTTGGGTGACTGACTCTGCCCTAAAGATTCTGATTTGTCCCTTGAGTTATAATAGTAGACTGGGATCCATTTCAGGCCATGGATATTTTGTAACCTGGATTTTCTAGTTATAAGAAAATAAAATTAAATAAAATTTAGAAATTTCTATACGTAAAAACATGAGAAAATAAACTATCTACATTACGAAACCTATCTCCACAAAATAGTGGGTTAAAAAATCATAACCTGAACATTGTAGATCATTTCTTTCTAGTATTTTATGTATTTGTTTTTACCTAGCAAATAGTTGTATGTATATTAAAATTTTTTTACATTTACTTTTTCAAAATTTTTCTGTTTTAAAATAAAGTTTAAAAAGTACAGTTGTATCCAAAGCATTTTCCCTTGTTAAATAAAGTTTATTCTTTATGAAACTAATTTTTCTTTGTTTTATTGAAAGATAAATGGATTTTAAAAAAAATCTAATAGCACATAATACAGTGTAAAGTATATTTCACTCTCAGTCTAGACCCCCAGTCTTCCTTGAAAGTTATTGTGAATAAGGTACTAATGGTGAATAGGATGCTAAAATAGGGGTTTTGTCCATTTTAGCACAGGCCCTAAGCTGAGAGCAGTACCATAGTAGCAGAGTGCCTCCCGCCTAAAGCCAGGTGTGAACTCTCCCGTGCAGGGCATGCAAATAGATTGTGAAACTGATTCTGCCAAGACAGACCAACCCCAACCTCCAGCCTGGAAGAGTTGAGTTGGGCAAGCTGGGAGTTGAAGAGAGGGGTCAGAATGTTGTCAATATCAACCTCCCTGCTTGTCCCAACAAGAGGCAAAGAAGTGATTGTCTCTCACCTTAAGTGAGAGGCTTTGGCTTCAGGGCTACTTGAAAAGCTTTATTTGCATTCCCTGAAGTTTGAAGGACAGAGGGGACTATGGTCTGAAACATTCCTGAGAAACGTAAGAGCAAAGGTTACAGTCTGTGCCTGAAGCAGGAGGAGCGAGAAAGCCAGGGCTGTCCAGGGAGCAAACTGCTCTCCCACCTGCTGGGGCACAGATGAGAGACCTTTCCAAGGACCAGTGGACTCATGGGATGGAGAAGCTGGAGTCCCTTGGAAGAGCTATGTGCAGGGAGACTGTCTGGTGGAGGAGGTAGGGGTGGTGGTGTTACCAGTAGAAGGTGTCCACATTCTTGGCATTTTGAACAAGGAATTGCACAATACACACAAACAAAGCAAGGGAAGAATGAAGTAACAAAAGCAGAACTTTATAGAAAACGAAAGCACACTCCACAGGATAGGAGCTGGCCCGAGCACAGGGGCTCAAGAGCCCCTTTACAGAATTTTGGGGGTTTAAATATGCTATAGAGGTTTCCCATTGGTTACTTGGTATACATCCTATGTAAATGAAGTAGTGGCCCACAATCAGTCTGATTGATTGCTTTCTGCAACGGGTCAGTTGTGGAAATAGTTGGTTGTGGAAAGTAACTAATCAGAGGCTGAAATTACAAAGTTACCCTCCAATGCAAATGTTTGATTGGTTGCAGACAGCAACCCCCTTTTTCCAATCAGAAAAAGGGGGCAGGGGGGTGCAAAGGGAGTAGCCTCCAGTTCTTTTGTTACTTAGGTATGGAAAGTTGGGGTTTTCGTTTTGATTGAGTTACAGGAAGTCAGCGTGCCCTTAGGTTCCCGGCCTCCACACCCTATTCTGCCTCAGTGGGATCCAGCACAGTGGCGGGTTGTGCAATGTCTAGGGAATAGAGGCCTCTGTCATGTCAAGAGAGATACGGGTAGAGGTCCTCAGTAAAAGACTCTCTGAGAAACCCACAAAACATCCACCAAAGAGGGAGAGATGTTTGCCAAGGCTAGAGGGCTCAGTGCCAGGTCACAGCCTGGTAAGACTTTTCCTGCCTCCTCGCTCCTTTCCAGGGCTTCCAACCCTAGTGGGGCCTGAAATAGCAGCCTGTGAGAGGCGGAAGTCTGGAAAAGTAAATAAAACTAAACAAAAATCCACATACATGCATCTATATCTGTATCTGTGTATCTCCACATACATCTGTTATGGTCCTTTATGCATACAAACATATACACATGCACATAAATGTATGTGTATGTAAGTGTGTGTGTGTGTGTGTGCGCGTACCCCTATCATAGCCCTTACTCACTCAATCAAGGCTTCTAAGTCTGGGTGAGGCCTGCACAGAGACACAAGGACATATTGAACGTGGTTAAGAATTTGAGGTTTTCATTAATACTTTAGGTGACCTTTTTAATAATCAAAATGAGATTGCTTTCATGTGCAAAAGTGAGCTGAGGACACTTCTTTCTGTGAGTGTGACCAGAAAAGCTTTTGTAACATTGGAGAGAAAAAAATAACTCTCCATCCACCTATTTCAGTGAGTCCTGCCCATTCAGTAATGCCAGTTTCTTTTTTATTCTTCCAGAATTGTTGATTGCAAACACAAGTGCATGTGAGTGTAGAGGGACAGGCCTGCTCTCTGTATCCCTCTCCTGGCCCTCCCTGTGCTTTTGCTTTGGTCAGCAGGCTAAAGGAGGAGGTAAGGGGCATTTGCAGTCTTCTCCTGTTTGTTAGAGGAGCCAAGGCAGCTGGTGGGTAGATGTGGAATTGGGGTGGGGGTGGAGTTGGGGGTTGGCTTGCAGGTTCACTTGTTTCAGGGCTGGCTTGTGTAGCTCCCTTGGCATCTAGGATTCCCTGGAGAGATTGGTGTGAATTGTCAGTATGCTTCCCACCTGGTTACACAGTGTCAGCATTCCCCTGACCTCACAAAGTGGTCCCCCACACCTACCTACTCTTTCTGCCTTCTATGCAGGCTCCAGAACCCTAAAGCAACCATCTCCCACACTGCTTGGGCACCACTGGGATCTTGATGATTCATTGTTGTCCATTCCTACCTAGAAGGCTACATCTTTCTCCTGTGAGCCTTTTCTTAACACTTAATGGCCCACTGTGCGTCAGCAGACGGCGTGTCTCACAAAAAAATCTAGGCATCAACGACACGCCCCCTTCCCTTTGTGTGTGCAGAAACACCCACATTCCATGGGTGACTTTTGCCTGTTCTGTTCCGTTTGCATCCTCCAGCATAGCCTCCCTTCAAAAAGGGATAATAAATATGCTTTTTAACTTTTCGTTTTAGATAAATTATCTCTCCTTTGTAAGTTTTGTTAATAAACCTAGCAGGTCCTTTTGTAGTCATGAAATAATATAGAAGTAAAATATATTTTTATTTTCTTGAATAAGAAACTAAGTTGCTCACGTGACATTGTGATCCCCTGTCCCAGGTCCCTCCTTCCACCTACAGCTGGGGCAAAGCATTGCATAAGGGGATTGTTGTTTTTCCTTCAGTCTTCCTTCAGGAATCTGGGTGAGCTGGGAAGGAAACACGGTCTCAACTTGCCATCACACATTAGATGCATGCCCTCACCCTACTCTATGTGAATGTGTGTGATATTATCATACACTCAATGTGGTTATACTACTCAAAATACATAACTTTGCCCCAATATTTTCCCCAATTAGAGATTTATACTCCACAGAAAACTTACAAGGATGTTTGTAAAAGCTGAAGACTGGGAATGACAGAAATATTTCATTATTTAAGTGTTGGGTTAAGTCATTACATAACATCTATACATTCCAATTATTGATTTGACTGTATAGATATTACATAGTGACTTAACCCAACACTTAAGTATGAAATTATTCAGTCAAAATTAACAGTTGGACTGTATACATATTACATAATTACTTAACCCAACACTGTTAACAACAGTCAAATTAACATTTGACTGTATAGATATTAACAACACTGAGGTATTTAATAAGACTGAGGAAGGCTTGTATGTTCTGCTGTGTAATCTTCTCTAAGATATATCATCAAGTGAATAAAGTTCATTTTCAATTACGATTTAACATCCCCAAATTAATACACTGTTTTACTTACTTACTACCTTAGCAGAAGTCAGCTATGTGGCTTCCTTTTCTTAATTTCTCCAAATCAGGCCCTAATGAAGATCTCCGTCCTTAAATTTTTACTGTGCATGTCTGACTCTTTCGTTAAGATAATCCTGGTGTTAGAATATTTGGATGATAAAATACTCACATTTGCTATTTGGACACATATTGTCAAGTAGCTTTCCAAAAGAGTTGTATGCACTTATAATTTTATCAGCATAATGTGAGGAGATTCATCTCACTAGGGTCGTTTTTGTGTTTGACACATCCTCAGACAGCCCCCAAACATACTCATGGTACTCATGCTTGTTGGTATTTGTGAGGGTTACATATACTCATTACTCTTCATGTGACTCCTTTCCCTTGAGTGTAAGCTGAACCTAGTGATTTGCTTCTAAGAAGCAGAATAAGGCAAATGTAATGGGATGCAAATTCCATGATTATGTTACAAATCACCTTGACCTTGTCTTTCTAGGACTCTGTATCTTGCTGAGCCTTCTTAGCTTGGATTCTTTGATGAAACACCACCATATTGGAGCATTCCACCTGCCAAAGAACTGAAGGCAAGCTTCAGCCAACAGCCAGCAAGGAACTAAGATCTTCAGCCCAAAGCCACAGGGAACTGAGTCCTGCCAACTGCCACATCAGTGAGCATAGATGGGATCCTCCACAGTTGAACTTTCAGATAAGACCAGAGCCACACCTGACAATTTGATTGCAGCCTTGCAGACAACCCTGAAGCAGAGGACCCAGTTCAATCATGCTGGGATTCCTGACCCACAGAATCCATGAGAAAATAAATGTGTGTGTTTAAGCCTCTACATTTTGAGGCAATTTGTTATACAGCAAGAGATAATGAATACTTTTGTTATTTTTCATTTTAGGTAAATTATTTCTACTTTGCAAGTTTGCGTAATAAGTCTAGTAAATCCTTCTGTAGTCATGAAATAATACAGAAGTAAGAAAAAAAATCCCATTTTCTTGAATGAGAAAGCAAGGTGCTGACATAACATTGTGATCCTCTGTCCTAGGTCTCTCCTTCCATCCATGGCTGGGGCAAAGCATTTCGTAAGGGGATCTTTGCCTGCACTACTCCTCCCAGGTGGACATCTCTTCTCTGTGATTTTCACTGAGAGCATTTATTCAACATGGATTTGAGTTCCTAGTATGAGCTTGAAATCATGGAGGAATAAGACATATGGAGATTTGATGTGCATATCTCACGTCCTGCCTCCATGCCATTTCTCATATTGTAACTCCTCTTGGGAGCCTCTTCCTTCTTCATTTTGACTTTCAAAATTTTGTGCCGATTACAAAGCCCCACATTCTCTATGATGTTTTCTTTCCAACCCTCTGGTGCCCATCCACCTGTAAATGTCTATGACAACAGAACCACATAGCAAAGGCTGATGTCATCAATTCTCTCTGAGTTAACCTCCGACTTGGTAAGATGTGTGAGCCTTTATCAGTTATGAACAGGGAATGAGTCAAACCAAGTTATAGTTCCTAAAATAGTTACATGACCCCTAAGCAGCCTTGTTATAAAATGCTCTAAGATGAAATTAAAAGGTCACACAATTATTGTTTTTACTTCCAAGGTTCAGAAATATACTTAACACATTTTAGCTCTTAATTATTTTTAGTTCTATAATACTAAGTCTTCTAATGAATATTAACTTAAAGCTGGGCATTAAACATTCAACTGTGAACTAAATGTAAACTCTCTGACCCTAGGCAAACAGAATTTAATTTTTTAAAAATGTGGAAATCTAATTAGCTATCACACTTAGGCCCCATGAGGCCACTCGTAATGTGTAACTGATACTTCCAGGTGTCCTGCTGGTGGCTTGAATCAATTAGTGATCTTTATTGAAGCTGAATATAATTAATTACACAACTTTGAGATGTTCAAGTCTAATTTCACTAAAATTACATCATAAAGCTGGGGCATTTCAGGGCTTCTGACAGAAAAAAAAACAAGCATGAATAATTACTCAGTTAAATTCATGGCACATAAATTCATACCACAAAATTGAACTCCTTTAGCTTACCGTTGTCAGAGATAAAAATGCCCTGGGGTCACACACATAGGATTGTTGAACAGGTGCTCACTACTGAAGAAACATGTGTGTTACTTATCTAAACTATAAGCCTATCGGGGGACTATGTGCACAGATATTTTTCTGAAACATGTAAGTTAATTGCTTATTCACTAGGATGACACCACCAAGACCTATTTCTGACATGAGGTGTGTTCCCTGTCATCCTAGCTGCAATAAAGGCCTGAGCAATAGGAACTATTACAGAAAACCAGATCCAACACATACAAAAACTTAGGATCATAAAATACTTGAGAATCGAAGCTAATCTTGCCTCTTCCTCTAGTCTCCCTAAAATGTGATTGTAGGTTACATCTGAGACAAAATATCAAAGAAATTCGAGATAGTTTCTCAGCATCTATGTCAGTTATCTATTACCACATTAATACTGTGTAACAAAGCGCCCTAAAGGTAAAGTCTTAAAAGAAGACACATTTACTATTGCTCATGAGTCTACAGGTCAACAGAGTGGTTTTGTTCTGCTGATCTTGGTGAGTTTGTTTGGCAAGCTGTGGTTTGAACCAAGGCTTACTAACTTGTCCGGTGGTAGGCAAGCTTTTGGCTGATTGAGGATGCCTCTGTTCCATGGGCATGTTTTTATGAAGATCTCAGGGGTGAGAAAGGAAGAGAGAGAGAGAGAGCTGCAAGGCTTCATGAAGCCTGGCCTCAGAAATGGCACCACATCACTTTTCCAACATTCTGTCCCCAAAGCAAGACACAGACCAGTGCAGATTCAAGGAGTGGGGAAATAGACTCTACCTCTTAGAGGAAGAACTTGTAAAGTCACAAAGTAAAGAAAGGGGGGAAAATTCGGTCTATTTCCCAATCAATCTACTACAGCATCCAGAAATGGATGGACTTATTCACGTTTGCACTCAGAAATATGTAGTTCATTTTCATTATTCTTGATAGTCATATTCTATAAAGATACCGTGAACATGCATTTGTGGGTACTGAATTATTGCTTCAAGGGGAAATTTGCTTTATATAGGTTTATTTGTCAACATTATTCTTGTGAAACAAGCCAGTCTCATCAGTGCTGAAAATTGTGCTCTTCCACTTAGCCCTTTTCCTGTATAATACTTAGCAGGTGTTTTTAAAATTCTTCCATAGTCTCCTGATCTGCAGAAATGCATCTCCTCTGCAAGCTGAGCATTTTTCACACTGCATTGCCTTTTGAATCATGTGAGCCAGCCAGCACCAGCCAAGAAGAGTTTAACATTTTCCTGACCGTGGGTTATCTGACCATAAATTTGTTTGGCTTTCAGTCTCACAACAATGCTGTCCCCTTTTCAATTATTTTTAAATTAGTTGTCGTCTCATGAATCCATCCATTTAGCCACTTCCCCGTCTTTTCCATAGCTTCATCATGCACTATGGACTACATGCTACTTCAACACCTTCTGGAGCAGCCTCGCATGTGGATCTGCAAATTTCCTCTTCCTTTTTCTGGATGTATCTTGTTGTTGATTCATTCGTATGGGACTCAGTCAACAGCACTGTAACTCATGCCTGCACGAAGCTTAGTTAACATGTATTCCCTCCAAAAGGTATATCACAGTCTCCGTGCGCTGAGGAACACTAAACGACACTTTAGCACCATGCTTGGAGTTCATTTTAAACAGCAAAATTATGAACAAAAAGCACGAAAAATACAAAAAAAAAGGCACTAAATAGACCGCACACACAAAAGACACTTGTTTATAGTTTGAAAGCTGAAATAAGAAGGGGAGGGTGTCTTGTTCAACCTCAGCTGGGAACAGGCGCATTGAATGGGGTACATTTTTTTTCAACTCTCTTCTAGTCCATGAATGAACACAACATCACTGTAAGGGTGGATTTGGGGGGTTACAAGTAAATTTGTGCAAGTAGACAAATTTGCAAATATGCAATCTGTCAATAATGAAGATGGTCTGCATATGGAAAACCTGCTCTGTGAAGTCACTGAGTCAAGCCTGGGGAAGAGGCTGCTCAGGGACCAGCCCTGCCCTTGAAGGTGTATCTGTCAGAGGCAGCAAAAGGAATGACAGCACAGGCTCCTAAGGGGTTACATTCTGGAAGGAAAAAATGTTTGGGGAACACAGAGGTGGCTTCCAGTAAGAATTTTCATTCTAGTTGTGGTTCAGGGTCACTGTTTCAGTCTTTACTTACAGTCTCTACTGAGGGATGATTGAGTTTTGGATCCAAAGGTATCCTGGGCATAGGCTGAAAAAAGCCCAACTCTAAAGTTGGTGGTGGTGGTGTTTGGATTCAACCAGATGCTTATTTCTGGTTGAATAAGCAGTTGGTGGAGCTCTGAAAGCAGGTGGAGCTCAAATCGCCACCGCTCTGACGGCCTGCTGTATACCAAGCATGCTAGGTGTTGTGGATGTGCAGTATTGGGACCAAGGCAACTCCTTCTCCAGGGAGTCTCCCCTGGGGGTGACAGGGGAGGCACAGGCATACCCCGCATTGCTATCATAACTGGATGAGAGAGAGAGGTCTGGGGCTCCGGAAGGAGAGAGGTTGTTTCTAGATGGGGATATCTGGGAAGGTTTCAGGCCACAGGTCGTGTTTGATCTGGGCCTTTAATATAAGAAATGTTTTCATACATTGCAGTGAGTGAAGGAATGTTTCAATCACAGGAGACATAGGTTACATAGTTCATTGTTTCTCATCCTTTCAAAAAGCATGACCCTATAATTCTAACTGACTCTTTTTTCTTTTTAATTATGAAAAACTGTCGAGCTTAGTTTTCTATATTTTGTTTTATGAAAACAGTAATTGCACTGTTAGCTTCATGTTTCCTCTCCCCAGCACCTCTTCTCCCCATGACAATGATACTGTCTCATCCCCATCTCCAAGACCAGTCACAGGAGACAGTGTGCTCCTAGATGGCAGGGGAGGATGTCAGCTTCAGCTCTGTGCTCCCTGAACGTAGCACAGGACCTGGCCCACAGCAAATGCTTAGGAAGTGTTTGCTGGTAGAAAAGATAAATGGGAAGAAGGAAGGAAGGAGAGGAGGAGGGAAGGAAGACAAGAAGGGAATAAAGAAGAATTAAAAAGAAAAGAAAAAATGATAGGCAACCACGTGGCCTCTAAATGCACTACTTGAATCAAAATCACCTTGAATCTTTGTCTAATCAGTAAGTGCAGAGTATCTGCTATGCCTGATGGAGATTCTGCTGCAAAGCTGTCAGGGATGGGTCAGGAAGTCTGTATTTTAAATAGCACAGATCCTCCAGAATCCACAGGGGATTCTGATGGACAGCCAGGTTTGGGGACCACTTATGCAGATACAGGATGTGAGATCATTAATAGTATCATTGCATCAGTGTTACAAGTTGTCAAGAATGGGCTTCCCCCACCTGCCTTCATATACCTGCCAGTATCACAGGTGTTGCAGGAAGAATGAGCGCTGCTATAGATGCAAAAGTGTGCCTGCAGCTCTGTGGGCCCCTTTCTGCTCTCTGCAGCTGATCACCTCTGGGGACAGGGGAATTGGATGACCTTAGAGAAAGCTCCCTTGTACTCTTGTGCTTTGAACATTTTTTTCCCATGTATGTCCTCAAGTTGCCTACGCATCTTGTAAAGTGCAGGTCTTTGGGGTCCATTCTAAAGCTGAAATTTCCAAAATGGAGCCTTCCCTATGATAAGGTATGAGAGGTTATTGACACAGGCGCTCACTATTTGATACGCAGGTGTTTAATATTTGATCGAAGGCAATACTTCCCAATGCCTGGATGTTTGATCTCCAGTGCAGCCTGCTCTCATGATCCATTAGGGTGCAAACAAACATTAGAACTTGTAATTATATTTTTTATCTCATCCACTATGTAAAAAAAAAAAATGAAATGGGTGTGGCATCAGCAATGGCACAAGCATCCCCTTGCTCTGAGCCCCTCCCATTTCTCACCTGGATAAAGGCAGTAGCTCCTGACTGGGCTCTGCTTCTGCCCTTGCCCCCTGCCCCACAGTATTCATCTTCTCTCACAGGCACAAAGGATACATTTAAAACATCAGTAGGGTTAAGCCACACCTTTCTCAAAGTCTTCTGATGACTTTATTTCACCCAGTTAAAGTCAAAGTCCTTAAGGCCCAATGCGATCTGTCCCTCTGTGTCCTCTCTGACTTCCTCTCTTCCCTCAGGGGTGGCTTACTCCACTGCAGCCACAGAGGTCTCCTCTGCTCCACAAACATGGCAGGCACACCCTGCTCAGAGCCTTTGCGCTGGCTGTGTCCTGTAACCGGGGGCCTGAACTGTAAACACCCACGTGCCTGACTCTGTCACCTCCTCAGGTCATATTTAAACATTATCTTCTCAACCTGCCCCAGTTACCCTCAACCCCCCTTACATAATGCATGGCACATGCCAGGAACTCAATCAATTCACTACATAATATTTATTGAAGAATTGATTGAATTAATAGCTATATTTTACATTCAGTGAATAATATACTGAAGTTATAATGCATGCAACTTAGCGATAAATCACACATATTTAGTTAGATGGTCAGTTTCTTTTCTTCTTTTTTTTTTTCCTCTTGGAGAGAGTCATTGAGTCATTTAATGAACATTGGCTCAGGTGTCTGGGAAATGATTCTCTGATAATCTTCGACGTGTTTCTAACTGTGTCCAGGAGATGGTGCTCATTCCCAACAAGACACGCCGTAGCAGGCACAGGGCTGAGCCTCTCAGTCTTGGTGCTTTTTCGTCTTGCTACTTTTGTCATATGAGGAATGATAGATGGCTCTGGTACCATTGTGTGACTTAGCCATGCTGGTAATTGAATAATTGTACCCCCAAAATTCCTACCTCTGGAGAAGGACTTGAGATCATTGTTTTGCGGATGTCAGCTGCCCGTGCCAGGACTGAGTGTATATTGGGGGGGACTCCCTGTGCCCCAGTGGCTCTGCAGCCCCTTTTGTTAGAGTGCTCTTCCCAGTGTAATGCCACAGACCTTCTCAGGGATCCTTGTGCAAGCAAGACCTATTGCCCTTGTAATGGCTGTTGCTTGCTAAGTACTGGTTACCAGCCAGGCACTGGGAGAAGCCCTTTATGTGCAGAGTCTGATCCTCTCAACCTCCTGGAAGAAAGAGATTTAGAGCTTCATTTTACAGAGAAGGTAACTAAGGCCTCAAAAGATTAATAGCAAATGACATGGAGGGGTTTCTTTCCCAGTAAAGCAAACACAGAAAGTCCCTGTGCTGCTCTTTCCCCTGTGCACAGAAGTCCAAGAAACTAAGAACTCAGAGGAAGGCAAGTTCAGGTTCCATATCCTCCAGGAGTTCTGTATCTGGTGAGAGGGAGAGAGACAGCCACACAGAGAAAGTCTATTTTCAGGCAGCTTGGAATATGTGTTGAGACAAAAATATGGATAACTTGCCAAGGGGGAACTTCATTCAGTACCTACAAGTTTCCATGGAATTTTTTGTTGTCTTATTTTTGCTTTTGCTATTAGAAAAAAACACTGGTTCCCAACTCCTCACGTGAAATTTTCCAGATTAGTGATTTTTACTTGGGATCAAGCTGAATGCAGAGTCTGCTTCAGTGGGTTGGGAATGGAACCTGGGACTCTGAATTTCTAATCACCTGTCATGTGATGCGGATGCTGTGGGTTCAGGGACCCCAATTTGAATAGGAAGAGGTGAGAGAAGTGAATGGCCCAAGGTCTGGCTCATGACTCATGAGCTAAGAATGTTTTTTTGTGTGTGTGTGTGGTTGTTTTCAAACTATTTTTAAAGGGCTGTGGGGGAAAAGAAGAAAGACTATGCAACACATGATATGTGGCCCACAAAACTTAAAATATTTACTATCTGATCCTTTACAGAAAAAGTTTGCAGACCCCTGGGCTAAAGTAAAACTGTTGACCTCTTAATAAACTCCTTTGGAAGAGCAAGTTCTTTTTAATGGTGAGTTTGGAAGAAAGCAAGGCATGCTCAACTCCACCCTTTCTCTGGGATTTCCTGCCTGCAGGGAGCACAGATTCTGGGAGCCTCTTGGTAAGAGTCTCTGTGGAGCCAGGAAGGGGCCTGCGGTCTCCAGTGTTACACTGATGGCATCAGTCTGTCTAGTGATGTATTCAGGAGCCCACATTTCCGTAGACTTAGGTCAAACTCTTCAAACCACCTTATCAATAAAAAGGTTTCTATCTGCTTGATTCTTATTTCTGTATCTTAGTGATTCAGAGATTGAGTTGGAAGGGGAGGAGGAGTGCTCCTTTAGAGCCTCCCAAGCCCCAGTCTTTCCTATTGCCTTCAGGCATTTGTTCTTTGTGTCTGTGTCCTTGTTGGACCCTAGGGCAAGGCTTGCATTCTGGGTCTGACTGACAGATACGTCTTCATGCGTGGCTGCAGACCCACCATCGCATGCTACCAAATAACTCCTGTGTCAGACCATGCCAGTGGCTGACTGTCATATCAGAGGGCTCATTGCCAGTCAGAGTTAGATCTCTGAGCTAGGAAGCTGATGTGCATCCTGGGCGCAGGCAGGCCTTCCCCAGTCTGCAGTCTTCCACATGCTATCTCTGTATGCTCCTCTGGGGAGCAGCCGTCAGCTGCTTTGCAACAGCGGGGCCAGAATCAAGGGAAAGTGGGCCTGATTTCACAAAAGCTGCAGCCATATATTTTTTACTCTTCGAGGTGTAACTATGGTAATGAGATCAGAAGAAAAACCCTCAAATGCACATGGCAGTTTGGGGTACTGGAGAAGGGTTTAATTTTAGAACCTGAGCCTTGCTTCATGGAACAAAGAGCAGTGGAACGGGGCTTGCCACAGAGCTGCCACAGGTGCCTCTCCTTCCAGGACTGCACAGCCTGTCTGATAGCAGGCAATTTTTGTGTTCATCAGTTGTGGAATTTGTTTGGCTTGTGACATTCGTCTACTGCTGCAGCTATTGTGACAAGGGTGCGCCATTAGAAAGTCATTCTGTTGCGGCAATTTTCAGGAGTCTCAACCGAGCAACAAAATAACCGAACTCAAGAAAATGCAGCTGTTCTAATCATTCCATATTTAAACGAGGCAATTTATTTGCTTTCATAATTCTTACCACAAACTCTATATAGGGGAGATACCAGGATTATCCCCATTTGACAGATGACGAAATTGAAGTGCATAGGTTGTGCAAGATGCCCTATGCCCTGAGGTCCCAGGATGAGGAAATGATGTTGTCGGTATTTGATCCAAGCAATCTGGCTGAGAGCCCGTACTCTTAACCATTGCATGGCCATCACAATCCAGCATCAGTTATGCAAGCTGCGGGCAGGGCCACCTGGGGAAAAGAGGATCCTTGGCAGGGATGTAGGAAGCTGCAACTTAAGAATTTTCAGTCACTGCCATTGTCCGTGCATCTGGAAGGGCTAATCTCTGCTCTCATAAAAGGCAAGGCTCTTGGTTATAATTTCCAAGTATGAATATATGTCCTCCCAAGGTTTCAGGGCTGGAGGAGAGGGAGCAAGAAGGGATCTTTAAACCCTGCCAGGGGTAGGGAGTGAGTGTAAAATCAGTGTCAAGTCTATAAAAACAAGTTTCCAGGATGTATAAACAGCTTCTAAATGTGCATACATGTTAATCCACTAATTCAATTTCTAAGATTCATCCAAAGGGAATACTAAAAGCATAAGAAATTTTTTCTTTTTTCTCTTGAACAGTATACACATCACAGCTTTATTTATAGCAGAAAATTTTCAAAAGAGCCTATGTAGTCAACTTTTGGGGATTGATCAAGTAAATAAGTAAATCTATTAAGTAGAATAAAAATAGCTAAAAATATTATTTTTGAGAAACTTTTAGTAACATAAAGAAATATTTGTGATATAATTCTGTGTGAAAAAATCAGGGAGCAAAATTAGGCCACATGCAGTGGCTCACTCCTGTAATCCCAGCAAGCACTTTGAGGATTGTGCCTTGAGCCCAGGAGTTTGAGATCAGTCAGGGCAACATAGCAAGACTCCATCTCTACAAAAAGTAAAAACTTAGACAGCCATGGTGGTGCACACCTGTGGTCCCAGCTACTTGGGAAACTGAGGCAGGAGGATTGCTTGAGCCCAGGAGTTTAAGATTACAGTGAGCATGATCGCACCATCACACTCCAGCCTGGGTGACAGAGTGAGACTCTGTCTCTAAAACAATAACATCAACTACAAAAATTATATGCAGCATGAACTCACAAATTTGTGGAAAGATCTCTTTATATATGTGATTGAGAAAATGATCAGAATATTTCAGAAAGATAGAATTTGGAGACATTTTAATTTTCTTCTTTATATTTTCCTAACTTTCATAATAATTGAAAACTCTTGCAATTAACAACAATTTTGTTGATGACAGAAATAATGATAAAATAAATATTACTTATTTTTATTAAGTGCTTACAGTACGTTTGGTGATATAAGAAAGACACCTATATTTAAAGTACTTTCCTTACAAAGCCTAGCATTATATATGTATTACTGTATCTGTTTTACCAAAAATTAAATTAAAAGGTGAAGAAATTAATTGGCTTCCTCAAAATGTATTAAATAAACAAATTATTAAAGGTAGCTAAGTATAAGCATTTGTGACATGCTCAAGAAACGAATTGGCATCTATTTAGCTGCTGGACAGAGCTGAGGAAATCACAGGAGTTGGGGAATGAAAGGAGAGTGGGGCTGAATCATGGAAAGCCTCGAATGCCATACTAAGCGGGGGACTCTATCCCACTGGCAATGCGGAATCAGATGCACAAATTAAAAGGGAGAGAGAGAGATCATTGTAACACTGTGTGTGTGTGTGTGTGTGTGTTTGTAGGTGTGTGTGTGTGTGTTTGTATGTGTGTGTGTGTGTGATAAAGTCTCAAGGAGTAGTGCTCAGCAGCACTTACTGACATTGCATGTCAGTTGCGGCCTTCATTAGAGACTACATTTCCATACACTCCCTGCAATGTAATTGTTACAGAATTCTGCGGAGTGTTCACAGAGTTTCCCTGCATGAAAAAGGCAGAGGTAGTCAGCCCTCCAGGGTGTCTAGAAGCAGATGAACACAGTCAACACAGAGTATCTTCAAATCCATCATCTCTGTTTCTTTCGTTTATAGCATCAAGTCATGTGCGATTTGCACTGCAGGGGCTCCATTGTCCTGCGTGACTAATTTCTTTGCCACCTCAGCCAATGTCTGGTTAATGCTACAAACCTAGCTGCACTTGGCATTTGCCTTCAGCCTGAGAGACGCCAGTTCTCCAGCCTGCACACTCCATGTATGTCACCTTATTTGCACCACATAGATCTCTCCCCATATTACTGTGACCTCCACCTCACCCAGCCAGCACGTGCCATGAATCCCTGAGTCCCTGTCTGTTCAACCATCTTGATTGGAACATCCGTTGTGTAGTCAAGAATCCTGGCCATTTTTATCCAAACCGTGCATGAGGTGGCACAATGTTCCAATCATTTTCTTTCCGTCTGGGTGTATATCCAGAAATATAAATATCTAACACTTTCACAACACTTATTCTATGTCAGATGCAGGTCTCAGGACCTAACTTACATTAACACCAGTAACCCTCAGGATAACCTTCCAAGGTGGGAGCCATCCCCACTTTACCAAGAAAACAAAGAAGGGCTCAGGGACTTGCCCAAGGTCACGGAGAACTGCCAAGACTTGAATTCACAGTTTTGATTTCAAAGTCAGTGTTCTTAATCGTCGCACCATGCCGCCACTCACAGCCAGAAGAGAACATACTCTAAAAGCTTAGGAAATCTTACTCAATCACAGTTAACATAGTTTCTCTACTCATGATGTTCCAACCCTGAGCTTTTGATGTGCAATCATGGCTGGTTTTAGACAGATGTGTGATGATGATGCATTAGCTACTATATTTAGTGCTTCCCTCCCTCTGTCCCTTTTCTGTCTCTTCTGCTACTTAGAAGACTCCTTATTTTCTCTCTTCTTTCTTTGGTAAATCCTTCCTTTCCTGGTTATCTCACATGGACCCATGATTTCCCCACCCATCTCCCTTGCTGAAGATTCTTGATCCAGTCTCCAACCTTCCCCACCATCCAGATGTAAATGTCCAACAACAGACTAGATAGCTCCTCTGTATGTGACACAAAGACATCAAACTCAGCACATCCCAAACCAGGCTTATTGCCTCACCCTCCTGCCTTGTCAATGGCTCCCCCTGTGTCCTATTCCCAGTGAGAAATCTCAGAGTCAGTTTTGACTCTTGCTGTTCCTTGACTCCAGTATCTCCTGAGTATCTCCTTTCTGTTGATTTTTATCTCTTCCTCCTTGGAATCAACACTTTCCTGGCTCATCTTGCTCTGGTATGTCCTTTTTTTTGGAAATGGTCTTCCTGGACCTGAGTTACAGTTAGAAACTCAGGGATCAACAATTTACTTAAAACATTGTACTCCTCCTCCCTCCTCGATTTCCACCAACTGAATGCCTGGAAAACATCCCAGGTGCCAAGATAATGTAGCTGGAAAGTGAAACAAGAAACTCAACAATTTCTAAAAGAAGAGGGCTCTAGAAACTTGCAGGGTATTAAACACGAGAGTGCAAGCTTGTAAAGCCATTGAATCTACAGGAAAGTTAAGAGCTTGGTCCCCGCTTTCAGGCAAGGAACTGGAAGGTAGCCTACTGATGTCACTCCTTCTCTCAGACCCATTCTTCATGGTCCAGATAAATGTCACCTCCCTCACGAGCTTTTCCTGCTGGAACCTCTTGGCTGTCTAGACTACCTGGGAAATTTATTTACCCCTTGCTATGAACTGAATCTTTGTGTCTCCCCACAAATTCACACGTTAACATTCTATCCTTGAAGTGGTGGTATTAGGAGGTGGAAGCTTTGAGAGGTGATTTGGTTGTAAGGGTAGAGCCCTTGTGAATGGGATTAGTGTCCTTATAAATGAGGCCCAAGCGCCTCAACCCTTCCATCCTGTGAGGACGCAGTAAGAAGATGCCATCTATGAATCAGAAAGCAGGCCCATAGTAGACACAGAACCTACACATGTCTAGATCTTGGACTTCTCAGCCTCCAGAACTGTGAACGATACATTTCTGTTGTTCACAGCCTCTGAGTCTAAGGTAGTTTGTTTTAGAAGCCCCAGCTGACTAGGACACCCCCTTCACATGATACTCAATGATGCATGGCCCATATTTTCATGTGCTTGTCTCTCCCGTTAGGTTGGAAACTATAGACCGAAGTCTGCTTCTGTCCAGAATAAGCCTGGCCACAGAGGCACTTCCTAAAGTTGGCTGAGTAAATGAATAAATGAACACAGTCTGACAAAAGCAGTGTGCTAGATTGCATGAAAAAATGGCCATGGTAATTTCTCCCTAGTATCCATGCTCTTGGGTGACTTTCCCCACACTGACACTGAGTTTGGCTGTGTGGCTTGTCATGGCCTGTGGGATGATAGTGACTATGACACAGGCATCTCTGCAGGGCTGACTAATAGAGGATTCCCCTCTCCCTCTTCACTCAGAACTCTCAGACCACCATGGGAATGACCTGAGCCACACTGTTAGATGCTGAGTGGTGAAACAGAGGACTGAGAGGCCCCACCCTGCCAGCAGAGCCAGGTACCTGACAATACCTGGTGTGAACATCAGCTGAACTGGCTCGGGCCTTGAGAACCAACAGCTGATGCACAAAACCATGAGATGAATAGAACATTCATCTTTTAAGCTTCTTAGTTTTGGAGCGGTATTTTATGCAGCAAAAGCTAACTGGACAGTCACAGATCACTAATTTTCAAAGAAATTGATATGGTTTGGCTGTGTCCCCACCCAATCTCATCTTGAATTCCCATGTGTTGTGGGAGAGACCAGTGGGAGGTAACTGAATCATGGGGGCAGGTCTTTCCCATGCTGTTCTTGTGATAGTAAATAAGTCTCATGAGATCGGACGGTTTTAAAAAGGGGAGTTTCCCTGCACAAGTTCTCTTCCTTCTTTGCCTGCTGCCATCCATGTAAGATGTGACTTGCTCCCTCTTGCCTTCCGCCATGATTGTGGGGCCTCCCCAGCTGCATGGAACTGTAAGTCCATTAACCTCTTTCTTTGTAAATTGCCCAGTTTCAAGTATGTCTTTATCAGCAGCGTGAAAATGGACTAATACAGAAATGAAGTGCAGTCAAGCTGTGTATTCACTAAACAGCTTTTGCTGCTGGTAAAATGGAAGCAAATAAACAACACACCCATATTCTAGTCAAACAGCCTTAAACTCAAGTCTAGGCTGTCACCTACTAGCTGTGTGATATTGAACAAGTTACATTGCCTGTTAGGTATGAAAACTGTCTTTCAGGTTCTCGAAACATGTAATGAAACTATACTTATAAATTAGCTAATAGAAACTACTGCATAGTACATGGTCAGCATATGTTTGGCTATTTCTCGTGGCTGGTCTGTGATTGAGAATGAAGCTCTGACTCTCTTCCCATGGACAAAATTTTAACCCTTGTCCCCTCTCCTAAGTGCAGACAATTCTTTGCTATTTAAATATATGAACGAAACAGACTAAGACAGTTAGTACCAAATCACCCCAGGTTAAGTCCTGAATTGTTTCTGAGGAGTGAATTCCTTACACAAGCATATGAGTCAGCCTTGGAATTGCATAGGTGCTCCTGCTTAATTAACACTTCCTACCTCAAAACCAGCAAATAAACAAAACAGTGACCAGATTAGGAGGACAATCAAATTTCTGTCAATGTAGGTTCTCTCCCTGCCACATTCTCTACATGTCCAAGCAAAATCTTAGATAAAAAGATTTGGGGCACCTATTCCCAAGTCTTCCTTTCTTGTAATTTTAAGGCACTCTGCGGCCCCAGAGTTAGAACATTTCTCAGGGCTGGAGGGGTGGATGCAACACTTCACCAACCATTTATGATGTATTGGCTGATTAGCCATGGTCTCTGCCTTCATAATGCACTTACTCTACTAGTAGGAGACAATTCTATGAGTGCCACTCTATCAGGAAAGCTATGGTGAGGGTTACACATTGTAATGTTAAGTATGTCAGGTGTTTCAAGCTCTAGGCTAAGTATATAATGAGTTTTATTGACCCAGGGAATTTAAAAATGGTGCAAATGTCACTATCACAGATAGACCTGCCCTTACCACCTCATCTAGAATAGGTCCCTCAGCTCACCTTCTCTGCCCCGTGTGCCCTTCGCCTCTTCCCCTGCTTTTCCTTCTCCTTACCACTTATGGCTCTCTGAAACCCTATTATTTACAAACCTGTCTACTTCTTTATTATTAGCCTCCCCAGGAATATAAATTCTAAGAGGGAAGGAACTCAGTATGTCTTGTCTGTTGCTGCCCAGAACGGCACGTGGCACACAGAGGGCTCTCATTTGTTGAATGATATGAGATGGACACCAAAGCAATGGGTGAGGAGTTGACTTGTGTCTCTTTCTCCAAATAGGACAAGAAGCTCTCGGGATTGGGACTGTGTCATATGTGTAACACAAGCTCCCAGCACTGTGCCAGGGACATCATGGGCCCTCAATCCATATTGGTTAATGAATGGGACAGGAAAATCCACTGGTAAATAGTAATATGCATTGCAAAAATGTGATTTCTGATATTGGAGTTTTTCAGATCAGGGCAACTCAGCAATTAAGTTCCCTTGGATGGATATATTTTAAGGAGTCATTGCAAAGGTAACTAGATATAAGACTTGTATTTTTATTTATTTATTTGCACTTTTCAAGTAATTTGGGTTAGTACAATGTAATTTTGCTAACTCAAGGTCTTCACCGAGAATGTAATTCTTAGCATTATCATCTTACTCTGTATTTAACAATTGCCACATCTTTCCTCCCCAGGAGCCTCTAGGCCCTTGGAAGACAAGGATCTTTATGTCTATAATGACCAGCTCAGTGCTTTGTTTACAGTAGATGTTCAGTAAATGTTAAGTTGAATAAATGGATACGTGGCTGAGCATTTCTTATCACTCTCTACTGTGGCTGTTGTGCCCTCAAGGGCTGCCCAGCCTTCTTCTGGCTAGCTGACCCTACACATGCCAGCTTCAGGTGGCTGTCCCTTTGGAAATGCTGTGTCACCTTCTGGTAGTTTTCTTGCTTCTCCCATGATCATTCCAGTCATGTCTTTTTTCTGTGCAGTTGACTTGCCTGGTAGGACTAATGATCAAAATATTGAACAGCTTTGCCTGTGACAGTATCTTTTCCTCTCTGACTATCTGCCTTTGATCTCATGTGAGCAGAGGAAAAGGAACACAAGTTTGTTAGCATTTGTGGCAGATTAAAGAAAGCTGAAAATTCTTTGATGCTTTTCACATTAAGAAATGGGTCTCTTTCCCTACCTATTAAATCTGGACATCATCAGTGATGGTTTTGACCATTAGAATACTGCAGGCCTGGCCATGTGAGTTTCCAGGCACAGGCTTAAGTGATGGTTTTTGCTCCCTGTAGCTCTCCTGAAGCCCTAAACCATCAGGTAAGAAGCCCACGTAACTGCTAGAGAGACAGAGGAGAGCTTTTGAGACTTCCTGTAGCATAGGAGGATCCCAGCTGAGCTCAGACCATCAGCCAGCCCACCATGGCCCCAGGCTAGAGAATGAAGCCATCTTGGACTCAGCAAAGAGGCCAGCCGCCAGCTGAATGCTGCCCAGGGAGTCCAGTTGGTGGTACAGGGGACAGAATTGGTCAATCGCATTCTGCCAGGATGCCAGACCTAAAAAATCATGCAATATAAGAAAGCAATTATTTTAGATCACTAAGTTTTGGGGTAGTTTGTTATGTAACAACAGAAAAGCAAAACAGCATAGATAATAAAATAAGATTAAATAAGTCTCAAATGGTCACTTAAATGTAATGCTCTGGGTAAAGGGCAAGAAAATTGTGATCCACATTGTGGTTCTTCAGTGACTGTGTGCATTTCTTGGCTGATTCTCTGATGCACTCAGAAGTGGTGAGCTTGCTAGAGTATGGGGTTCCATAGACGAGAGCACCTACTGTTTGCAAACACTGTTGTACACAAAAATGAAGTACTGGTTAAGCAAAAATGAAGTTCTTGGCTAGAAAAGGGTACATAAACCAAATTAATAAGCTTTTGTGAAATACCTGCATCACTTCTGTTACATTGTTTTGAGTGTTCAGAGAATTAATAAACAATATTATATGCATTTAATTTACTAAATACTTGTGTTTCCAATCTGTACAAGGTATAGGACAGTCAGAGGGTACAGAAATGAAAACTATAAACATCTGTGATTAGTTGTACCTCACATGTGTGGTGGCCCTGATAGCCGCAAACATTTTTATAGTAAATATACTATTTTATCCTTATAAGAGGACTACGTGATGGGCAGGGCTGGCTATTTCATATTTTATAGATTTACAGACAAAGGCCTGGAAACATAAAGTGGTTATTACAGGCTGCATTGTACCCCCCAGACCCCCATTCCTGGGACTTGTAAATATGTTACCTTATGTGGTAAAAGGCTTTGACCATTTTGGATTATTCAGGTAGACTTATTAAAATCATAGGGTCTTTTTAAGGAAGGAAGAACAGAGCTAGGGTGAGAGAAGGATGATGGAAGCAGTGGTTAAAGTGCAATGCTTTGAAAATGGAAACAGGGGCCACTAGCCAAGCAATGCAGATGGCCTCTAGCTGCTGGAAGAGGCAAGGAAACAGACCCTCCCCTATAGCTTCCAGAAGGCAATGCAGCCATGCTGACACCTTGATTTTAGCCTGTGTTACTGGCTGAATTATGTCCCCTCCCACCAACTCATGGGTTGAAATCCTAACCCCCAGTACCTCTGAATGTGGCTGTATTTGGAGACAGTGTCTTTAAAGAGATAATTAAGGTTAAATGGGGTCATTAGGGTGGGCCCTAATCCAATATGCATGGTATCCTTATAAGAAGAAGAAACGTGGACACAGACATGTACAGAGCGATGCCCATGTGAAGGCACGATGAGAAGGTGGCCATCTCCAAGCCAAGGAGAGAGTCCTCAGAATGAAATCAGACCTGTCAACACCTTGATCTTGGACTTCCAGCCTCCAGGACTCTGAGAAGATAAATTTCTGTTGCTTAAGCCATCCATCTGTGGTACTTGGTTATGGAAGTCTGAGCAAATTAATGCAGTGGTGTGCCCTAGCTACTTCAGGTCATTAGAGGCAGAGTTGAGAATGGATCCAGGAGTTGCGTCTCCTAGTGCTTCTCCTGCTGCCTAAACTACTCTCCCTCCTGCTGGACTCTGGTGCAATGGTTACAAATTGCTTGTATTGTAATGCGAGCCTCCATCAATCTCCAGCTGTGCAATCTTGGAAACATTACTTACACTTTCTGTGCGTGGTGAGGACTACAGCATGTACTACCTGTTTAGTGACTCTCTGATATTGTTTCTGGTTTCTGTATTCCAGATGGAAAGAGGATGAATGTTTTACAGCAAAATTCCTGAGAGCCTTTCCCTAAATGTTGATCACTTAATAAAATAAAGAGAATAGAATGGAGGAATGAGGTATAAGATCTTGAATGTACAAACTGCACACGAGGGACAGCGTTTCTTTTCTAGTGTAAACTGTTAAATTTTGCAGCAAATCTCTCTCCTATATGAGCTATAGAATCTATAATTGTTTGCAGGGGTGGAAACCATTATGCATCAATGTCACTGTCATCAAATAAAATGTAAGTGCCTACAGAGACACAGTGTGGTCTAAGGAGTTTTGCAAAGAACCCATAATTGGTATCCTGCTGTTCAAATCATCGAGAAAGTAGGAGCTTGGGGCAGGAGCTCCTGGCTGCAGATTTTATACATGATTCTCACGAACCTTGAAATGTCAGACCAAGGCCATGCTCCCCCCTCCCCTATCCAGCAAATTCCTGAGGGCTGTTCTTCCTCTGTCATGGACAATCAGTGCTGTGCGAGGATGTTCTCACATCCTAGAAAGCCTGAGGTAGTTTCTTACAGCCAATATGAATCTGTGATTTTAGCTCCAGAACCCAGAGTGGCAAGCCCAGGGAGGCAGAAGATGATCCAGGCACCTGCCTGTGCAGCTCAGGAAGTGAGGGCAGTCCTCTTTTGTCTTGATGTTTTCTCCTTTCTTTGTTTGTTTTGAGACAGAATTTCACTCTGCTGCCCAGGCTGGAGTGCAGTGGCGAGATCTGGGCTCACTGCAACCTCCGCCTCCCCAGTTCAAGCGATTCTCCTACCTCAGCCTCCTGAGTAGCTGGAACTACAGGCACACACCATCACACCTGCCTAATTTTTGTATTTTTAGTAAAGACGGGGTTTCACCATGTTGGCAGGGCTGGTCTCAAACTCCTGACCTCAGGTGTTTGAGACCAGCTCAGCCTCCCAAAGTGCTGGACTTACAGGTGTGAGCCACTGTGCCTGGCCCTGTTTGTTTGTTTTTTGAGATGGAGTCTTCCTGTGTTGCACAGGCTGGAGTGCAGTGGCACAATCTCAGCTCACTGCAAGCTCCACCTCCTGGGTTCAGGTGATTCTCCTGCCTCAGCTTCCCAAGTAGCTGGGATTACAGGGGCATGCCCCCACACCCAACTAATTTTTGTATGTTTTTTAGCAGAGATGGGGTTTCACCATGTTGACCAGGCTGCTCTTGAACTCCCGACCTCAACTGATCCACTTGCCTGGACTTCCAAAAGTGTTGGGATTACAGGTGTGAGCCACTGCACCTGGCCAATATTTTGTCTTTTCTGAGATAAATCTCAGTTCTCATTGTAGTGAGACCCTGAAGATACTGGTACACAGGCCCATGGACCCTACTCAGCTGTTCTGACAAACCATCAAAACCAGCTGTGTGGAGCTCTGTGTCACTGAATGCCAGAGCATGTTAGGGCTAAATTCTGAAAAATCCTGGATCAGAAAATACGTATCTTAGAATAAAAGAACACAACATACTCTTTAGCTCTGTCTTCTGATAACTTTCATTTTTTGTCTTATTTAACTAAAGACAGGTTATAATCAAGCCTAATCTTTTTCTCACACAATTAAAACAAAAATTCCCCAGGATAGCTTCCTGAGCCCAGCCTGCACACCTGCAGACCACTGGTAGTCATACAAGGCCCCGAGTGCCAGGCCAAGTGTTGCTGTTGCATTTAAATCATGGTGCTTACTCATGGCTCGTGCTAGGTCTTAACTCTTCATGTTCTCATTCATTCCTTTGTTAATGCATGTTTTAAGTATGATTTACTTTAAGCCACATGCTAAGCATTCAAAAATTAATGAGCGAGAGGTCCCTTCTGCAAAGAGGTTTACAGTGTAGTGAAAAAATAATGGTACTATTATGATTGGTTAGCAGTCTACGATATGCCTTCACAAGTGTTTTATTTACGTAAAGGTTTCTCAAAAATGCTGAAATCTATGGCTATGAGCCCAATAGTAGCCTCATACTCCCTCAGGGCTATGGAGAGCTTCTTCCTGCTTAGCCCACCTCCTCCTGGGCATCGATGGTAAAATCACAGATCAATTATAAAAGTACCTCTTAGGAAGAGCTAGCAGGCAGCCCCAAGTATGTCTCTGAGAGTTCAGTCCAGAGTCCAGAACCCCCAGTAGGACTATTCAAAGTACAGTACCTGGGCCACTGGCTACTGCTACAGTATTGGCTTCCAGACTGCATATGGTGAGTATGCAGAGAGATGGGAAGAGGGAGGACTGATAAGAGGAGAGAGAAAGAGAGGAAAAGGGAGGAACAGGGAATAAGGGAGTCAAGAGTAAGTAAAGAGAGAAGGAGAAGAATGCTCAAGTGAGGGAAGGACTGGGAGTGGGAGAAAGAGGAGGAGAGGAGGAGAAAGCAAAGGTAAGAATCCAGCATGGCCTTGTAGCCTCCAATGAGGTTATATGTTTATTTTTCAGTAGTTCCTATCACAGGTACATAGTAACAATCTCTGTACTGTATGAATACTACTCATCCATAATTTATAAATACTATTTTATTTAATGGGATAATATAGGTGAAGTCTTATCTGAGGATAGAACTTCTTAATGTAATGAGCATTGCATTATGTATGAAGGATTTAAGATGATACCCATAAGGCTTTAGCAAGAACATTTTTGAAATAAGAGTTCCTTCGTGTTTGACATGGATTCACTCACTCATCTAACCAAGCAAACTTTTTAAAGTGGCAGTCACTGGAGAAATAAAGATATTAAGACACAGCCCTGCATTCTAGGGGCTCCTAGTCTAGTGGTGGGAAAGACAAGCAAACAGATCATTATGCTTCAGTGTGAAAGTGCTAAGGGTTTGAAGCCCAGAGTCCTTTGGGATGCACAGGGGAGGCAGAGATGCCTAAGCTGAGACATGGAGGTCCATTGTCATGATCTAGGTGAACATTGCAAGGGATCAGCATGTGCAAAAGCCAGGTAGCAGTGTCTATTTTGGGAGCTGCCAACAGAGTAGAAGGTGAGGAAGGGTGCATGCAGGAGATGAAATCAGAGAGCAAAATATGGAACAAGAAGACAAGAGGCTTTGTAGGCTGCTGTCTTCTGGGAGTTCTCTCCTGCTGAAAGCCTCTGCAAAAATACTTACACTTAGTTTTTTTTTCTTAGAGGTACCTGATCTCCTGCTTCTCTTTTCCTTCCCTCTCTTCCTTCTTTCCTTGTAGCTTTCTTTTAATCTCATGTGCTCCAGAAAAAATTAATCATAAAGGTGGCCTTTGTAACCATCAACATAATGGGTACTGCAGTTGGAAGTTAGAAGCTCCAATTCCATTTGATTGTTTTTTTTTTGGCCCCAGCAGGTCCTTTCTTCTCTTTGGGCCTCAGTTTCCCTATATCTAATACATGGGAGGGAGGGGTTGATAAGTTTGTTTAAATTGTCCTTTCAGACTGAAATATTCTCTATTTTGCTCGTCAGAACTTAGATTTGCATAAGAAAGACCTAATTAGTTCTTAGAGTGTTGGGAGAGGGTTTGTTGAACAATTATTAATTTTTGAGGGAGGCACATTTTTATTTTCAGTCTCATCAACAATAGATTGGTGCTGGAAGGAGAGGCCTGTCACTGTTTTCCTGCTGGTGGTGCCTTGCAGGTCTAGTGTGTGTCCTGAACTCTACATCTACGTCAGAACATCTCCAATCCAGCCTCGGAGCTTGAAAACAGCCTCTAAGGACTGGGGAGTTGAGTTTCTCCATTATATTTTGGCTCTTTTAAGTTTAATATTTCTGCAAACTTTTCCCTTGGTTATTTCTAAATAACTATTGTTAATTTTAGCCATTTACTGGTTGCCTACTATACACCATTTACCTGTCATCTTTGAATATATTACTTGCTTATTCTATGCAAAAAGTACATTGAAGTGTGTATTATCACCATAGTTTTGTAAATGAGGAAAATAGAGTTCCTCTTTTAAAAAAATTTTTTTTTATGAGACAAGGTCTCACTCTGCCATCCAGGCTGGAGTAAAGTGGTACAGAATCCTAGCTCACTGCAGTCTTCAACTCCTGGAATCGAGAGATCCCCCTGCTCCAGCCTCTAGAGTAGCTGGGAATATAGGTGTGAGCCACCATGCCCAGCAAAAATACAGTTCTTCAAAGAGGTGAGGTCACTGGATTGTAAAGAAATAATTCAGAATTTGAAACCAAATCATGTGACCCAATCGTTTGTCCTTTCCACTCTGCAGCACGTCTCCCCAAGCAGACCCTAGAACCCACACGTCTTCCTCTGTTGTGCTGCCTCGTGCTGGGCCCCAGGGATCAACAGCTCAGCAGCAGATGGGGCATTCTTAGGTGGTGTTCTTGCCTCCCCCTGTGAGATCCAGACCCCCAGAATCTCACTGTATGTCCCAGGCCCTCAAGAATTAGTTATTATTCATTGATAATTTAATCTTCACAATAATTTTATGAAGCAAATATCATTGATTCCATTGTACATGTGAAGAAACTAAAGCCTACCAATGCATCCCAGGCCTCACAGTTAAAGTAGTCATTGATTTAGACTCACTTCTGTCCAACTATAAAATCTGGGTTACTCCAGTCTATATATTGACTCAGTAAAGACATTTTGAATTAAAAGGTAAGATAAACACAGCCCTTACTAGAGGAGCAGCCATCTCACTGTGGCTTTCTGCTTCCTGCGCTAAGTCAAGGCTGTTGCATTTAGGGCAGGGCCCGTTTGAACCCTGGGATCTAGGCAGGGCTGTCCTCACACCTCTGTGGGCCATTGGTCACCCTCTTGGACTGCAGAGTGTCCTTCCCATGGTCAGTTCCACATGGCCACTGAGAGCTTTGGATAAAAGCTCTCAGTGAAAGCTGAAAACTGAAAGCCCAAAGATAAATCAAACGTGAGCAAAAGGCCCTACAGAGACCCTGAAGTAGAGTGTTTGGAGCCAGGGAGCAAGGTAGAGGCTGAGGCAGGAAACTAGTGTTAAAGGAAAAATTATCTTGACACTTTTTAAAATGGTAAGGAAAGCTTTATTCAGGATTATCTTTTAATAAGCAGAGAAGTCGTTCTGGCCAGCCCATGGAGCATGTACAGTAAGGGGTTTTGTGTCCTCTGCTTATCCTTTTGATATTGGACAGCCAAAGACTCCACCCTCAGATCATGCTAATGCAGCCTTTTTTTATTTTATTTTATTTTTTTGTACAGGGAACCTGTGAATGGGCATGAAGCTCTTATGTACATCTTTCTCCTTTCATAAATATTCATGACTTATCCTGCAGCTTATGAAATATGTATATTTGGCCACCTTGCGCAGCATAAATTTCTGTTCCCTTTGCCCCTCCTTTGAAGTGCCTGTTTCTGGCTTCTGGCTGGAGGCTAAACTTCCCAGCCGGTCAGAATGGCCAACCTGAAGGCTGCAAATCCTTTCTGAGAAATAAAGCTCCCCTTTCCAAATTTCTGAAACCTGTTATTCTTCAATTTATATCAAGTTAAAAAATTGTTTTCACATATTTATCTTACTTTTATTTGACACACACAGTCTGTTGTTATGCTGATTGTGTTTTATTACAGTTACTTTACCAATAAGAAAACTTGGTCCCATAGAAGAGAATATTTTGCTTAGGGCAGCTCACAATTTAATAGTGAAAGGAATTCTTGAATACAGACACTCCAATTCCCATCCTTGTCTTTTATGCTCATGTTAAATGCTTGGGCCTCAATCACCTGTCCCTTGTTCAGTAATGAGGGCTCTCTTTTCAACCAAACTTTATCAGGCCCCTCTGAACTCTCCTCTTAGCCTCGTCCTTGGGCTTCTGTGTCTACTCTTGAAGAGTTCAGTTTAGCAAGAATCCTGCTAAGTTAGTTTAGAGAGAATCCTTCTACTCTTAAGATGTGATTACCCTGGCCTGCTGTATTAGTCCATTCTTGCATTGCTATAAAGAAATATCTGAGACTGGGTAATTTATAAGGAAAACAGGTTTAATTGGCTCATGGTTGTGCAGGCTATGCAGGAAGCATGACGCTGACATCAGCTTAGCTTTTGGAGAGGCCTCAAAAAACTTATGGCAAAAGGTGAATGAAGAGTAGGCACATCTTACATGGCAGGAGCAAGAGAGAGTGCAGGAGGAGGTGAGATGCTACACACTTTTAAGCCATCAGATCTCACAAGAACTCACTCATTTTCACAAGTGCAGTACTAAGGGGGACGGTGTTAAACCATCCATGAGGAATTCACCCTCACGGTCCACTCACCTCCCACCAGGCCCCACCTCCAATATCGGGGATTACAGTTAAACATGAGATTTAGGTGGGAACACATATCCAAACAATATTACCTGCCCTCAGCAAGAATCCTGTTAGGTCAGTTTAGCAAGAACCCCTGCTCTTGATGTCTTCTCTTAGTAATTGTCCATCCGACTCCCTCCAATCTGCTTCTTGGCTGCACATTCCCACTTGTTGTAATGGGGTTGAGCCTCATTTCTCTCCTTATTAAAAGATAGTCCTGAATAGCATCTTCCTTATCATTTTAACAAGTGTCAAGATAATTTTTTCTTTAACACATCTCCTTACTCAGTCTTCCTGAAGAAATGCTGGTTAGTTGTGCTGAAACTGCTAAAAGGAAAGGCAGCTTCAGGTGGTTGGTTAATATCAGTGGGTGGTCTTTTGAAATGGTTGATGTATTAGTCTGTTCTCATGCTACTATGAAGAAATACCTGAGACTGAGTAATTCATAAAGAAAAGAAGTTTAATTGACTCACAGTTCTGCATGGCTGGGGAGACCTGAGGCAACTCACAATCACAGCGGAAGGGGAAGCAAACATGTCCTTCTTCCCATGGTGGCAGGAGAGAGAAGTGCTGAGCAAAGGGAGAAAAGCCCCTTATAAAACCATCAGATCTCATGAGAACTCACTCACTATCATGAGAACAGCATGAGGGTAACCACCTCCATGATCCAATTACCTCTCACAAGGTCCCTCCTTTCATGCAGTCTGTGTGAAGAGACCACCAAACAGGCTTTGTGTGAGAAATAAAGCTGTTTATTTCACCTGGGTGCAGGTGGGCTGAGTCCCAAAAGAGAGTCAGCGAAGGGAGATAGGGGTGGGGCCATTTTATAGGATTTGGGAAGGTAATGGAAAATTACAGCCAAAGGGGGTTGTTCTCTGGTGGGCAGGTGCGGGGGTCACAAGGTGCTCAGTGGGGGAGCTTCTGAGCCAGGAGAAGGAAATTCACAGGGTTAATCACTCAGTTAAGGTGGGGCAAGAACAAATCACAGTGGTGGAATGTCATCAGTTAAGGCGGGGCAGGGCCTTTTCACTTCTTTTGTGATTCTTCAGTTACTTCAGGCCATCTGGGCCTATATGTGCAAGTCACAGGGGATGCGATGGCTTGGCTTGGGCTCAGAGGCCTGACATTCCTGCCTTCTTATATTAATAAGAAAAATAAAACAAAATAGTGTTGAAGTGTTGGGGCGGCGAAAATTTTTGGGGGGTGGTGCGGAGAGAGAATGGGCGATGTTTCTCAGGGCTGCTTCAAGCGGGATTAGGGGCGGCGTGGGAACCTAGAGTGGGAGAGATTAAGCTGAAGGGAGGTCTTGTGGTAAGGGGTGATATTGTGGGGTTGTTAGAAGAAACATTTGTCGTATAGAATGATTGGTGATGGCCTGGATACGGTTTTGTATGAATTGAAAAACTAAATGGAATAAGAGAAGGAGAAAAACAGGTATAAAAGGTCTAAGAATTGGGAGGACCTAGGACATCTGATTAGAGAGTGCTTAGGAGATTCAGCATAGTCCTGCCAGCAAAGATTATTTATTTACTTCAAGAGTTTACAGTGGCAGTTTGGGGATAGCACCAGGAGATATCAGCTGTGATGGCTTGGAGAAACAGTGTAAACCGGCAGTGTAAACAAGAGTAGGGCATGTATGAGTAGTTGAGAACGGTGAATAGGAGTATGACTAGACAAAAGATAGTAGGGATGACAAGTTTTTTTGGGGCACAGTCTAAGTTGGTCTGGTGTCGAATGAGACTGGGGCCTAATAAAAAGGAGCGTCTATACAGGAGCTTAAATGGGTTGTACCTTGTAGCATTCTGCGGACAGGCCTGAATTCTGAGAAGCGAAAGTGGTAAAAGTATTGTCTAGTCCTTTTTAAGTTGGTGGCTGAGCTTGGTAAGGTGTGTTTTTAAAAGACCTTTAGTCCGTTCTACTTTTCTTGAAGACGGAGGACCGTAAGGGATATAAAGGTTTCACTGAATACTAAGAGCCTGAAAAACTGCTTGGCTGATTTGACTAATAAAGGCTGGTCTGTTATCAGACTGTATAGAGGTGGGAAGGCTAAACTGAGGAATTATGTCTGACAGGAGGGAAGAAATGACTGTGGTGGCCTTCTCAGACCCTGTAGGAAAGGCCTTTACGTATTCAGTGAAAGTGTCTATTTAGACTAAGAGGTATTTTAGTTTCCTGACTCAGGACATGTTGAGTAAAGCTAATTTGCCAGTCCTGGGTTGGGGCAAATCCTCGAGCTTGATGTGTAGGGAAGGTAGGGGGCCTGAATAATCCCTGAGGAGTAGTAGAATAGCAGATGGAACACTGAGAAGTTATTTCCTTGAGGATAGATTTCCACTATGGAAAGGAAATGAGAGGTTCTGAGAGGCAGGCTAGTGGCTTGTACTATAGCATAGCCTGCCTTTGCTGGTGTGTGGCGATTAGGCCTGGTGGAACCGCCATCAATAAATCAAGCGTGATCAGGGTGAGGAACAGGAAAGAAGGAAATATGGGGAAATGGGATGAATATCAGGTGGATCAGAGAGATACAGTCATGGGGGTCAGGTGTGGTATCAGGAATAATGTGAGAGGCCAGATTGAAGTCCAGGCCAGGAACAATGGTAATTGTGGGACTTAAAGAGTGAGTACAGCTGAAGGAGCCGGGGAGCAGAAAGTGTATGCGTCAGGTATGAGGAAGAAAATAGATTTTGGAAGTTATGAGAAATGTAGAGAGTGAGTTGAGCATAGTTTGTGATTTTTAGGGCCTCTAACAGTATTAAAGCAGCGGCAGCCGCTGCACGCAGACATGAGGGCTAGGCTAAAACAGTAAGGTCAAGTTGTTTGGACAGAAAGGCTACAGGGTGCGGTCCTGGCTCTTGTGTAAGAATTCTGACCGCACTAACCATGTCTAGGAAGGAAAGGAGTTGTTCTTTTGTAAGGGATTGAGGTTTGGGAGATTAATCGGACACGATCAGCAGGGAGAGCACGTGTGCTTTTATGAGAATTATGCCGAGATAGGTAACAGATGAGGATGAAATTTGGGCTTGACTGAAGTAATGGGGGCTGTCTGTGAAGCCTTGCGGCAGTACAGCCCAGGTAATTTGCTGAGCCTAATGGGTGTCAGGGTCAGTCTAAGTGAAAGCAAAGAGAGGCTGGGATGAAGGGTGCAAAGGAATAGTAAAGAAAGCATGTTTGAGATCTAGAACAGAATAACGGGTAGTAGAGGGAGGTATTGAGGATAGGAGAGTATATGGGTTTGGCACTGCGGGGTGGATAGGCAAAACAATTTGGTTGATAAGGCGCAGATCCTGAACTAACTTGTAAGACTTGTCTGGTTTTAGGACAGGTAAAATAGGGGAATTGTAAGGAGAGTTTATAGGTTTTAGAAGCCCGTGCTGTAGCAGGTGAGTGATAACAGGCTTTAATCCTTTTAAAGCGTGCTGTGGGATGGGATATTGGTGTTGAGCGGGGTAAGGGTGATTAGGTTTTAATGAGATGGTAAGGGGTGCATGATCGGTCGCCAAGAAGGGAGTAGAGGTATCTTATACTTGCGGGTTAAGGTGGGGGAATACAAGAGGAGGACGCAAAGGAGGCTTTGGATTGGGAAGAAGGGCAGCAATGAGATGCGGCTATAGTCCGGGAATAGTCAGGGAAGCAGATAATTTGGTTAAAATATCTCGGCCTAATAAGGGAACTGGGCAGGCGGGGATAACTCAAAAGGAGTGCTTAAAAGAGTATTGTCTAAGTTGGCACCAGAGTTGGGGAGTTTTAAGAGGTTTAGAAGCCTGGCCATCAATACCCACAACAGTTATGGAGGCAAGGGAAACAGGCCCTTGAAAAGAAGGTAATGTGGAGTGGGTAGCCTCCGTATTGATTAAGAAGGGGACAGGCTTACCTTCCACTGTGAGAGTTACCCGAAGCTCGGCGTCTGTGATGGTCTAGGGGGCTTCCGAGACGATTGGGCAGTGTCAATCTTCAGCCGCTAAGCCGAGAAGATCTGGGAAGGAGTCAGTCAGAGAGCCTCGGGCCAGAGTTCCAGGGGATCTGGGAGTGGCTGCCAGGTGAGTTGAACAGTCCGATTTTCAGTGGGGTCCCACACAGATGGGACGTGGCTTAGGAGGAATCCCGGGCTGCGGGCATTCCTTGGCCCAGTGGCCAGATTTCCAGCATATGTAGCAAGCTCCTGTGGGAGGAGGTTCTGGAGGAATGCCTGGCCGCTGCGGTTCAGGCGTTTGGAAGTTCTTGTGTGCTGGAGATGTGGCTGGGGTTTGTCTCACAGTGGAGGCAAGGAATTGCAACTTTTTTCTATTATTGTACACCTTGAAGGCGAGGTTAATTAAATCCTGTTGTGGGGTTTGAGGGCCGGATTTAATTTTTGGAGTTTTATTTAATGTTGGGAGCAGATTGGGTAATAAAATGCATATTGAGAATAAGACGGCCTTTTGACCTTTTAGGGTCTAGGGCTGTAAAGCGTCTCAGGGTTGCTGCCAAACGAGCCATGAACTGGGCTGGGTTTTTATATTTGATGAAAAAGAGCCTAAACGCTATCTGACTTGGGATAAAGAGAAAGGAGCATTCACCTTGACTATGCCTTTAGCTCCAGCCACCTTTTTAAGAGTAAATTGCTGGGCAGGAGGGGGAGGGCTAGTCACGGAACGAAACTATAAGCCGGACCAGGTGTGAGGAGGGGAGATGATAAAAAGATAATAGGGTGGAGGAGCAGAGGCTGAGGAAGAATTGGGACCTAGCTCGGCCTGGCGAGGAGCAGCCTGGGGAGGAAGGGAGAGGTCAGATGGGTCTGTAGAAAAGGAAGATTAGAAAGACTCAGCAACACTTGGGTTTGGTACTGAGGGGACAGGCGGGAGGGAAAGAAGGAAGATTTGGGATGAGTTGCACTGGGCACAGAGACTAGGAAGGGACTGATGTGTAAAAGAACGCCTGGACGTCAGGCACCTCAGACCATTTGCCTATTTTACGACAAGAATTATTTAGAACTTGCAGGATGGAAAAATTCAAAGTGCCGTTTTCTGGCTATTTGGAACTACTGTCGAGTTTGTATTGGGGTCAAGCGGCATTGCAGAAGAAAATAAGGCATTTAAGTTTTAGGTCAGGTGTGAGTTGAAGAGGTTTTAAGTTTTTGAGAACACAGGCTAAGGGAGAAGAAGGAGGAATGGGAGGTGAAAACTTACCCATAGTGAAGGAGGCAAGCCCAGAGAAAAGAGTAGAGACACGGAGAAGGGGTGGGGGGTTCTTGCCCTCCAGAAAAGCAGAGAAGGGGTTGGGGCACGGAAATAAGGGATTGGGGCACAGAGATAAGAGGTCAGGGTGCAGAAATAAGGGATTGGGGCACAGAGATAAGAGGTTGGGGTATGGAAATAAGTGATTGGGGGGTTCTTGCCCCCTAGGAAAGCGGGACTTGCCGCTAAGGGTGAAGGAGAAGGGGTTGAGGGGTACTTGCCCCTGCCCCAGGAAAGCAGAGAAGGGGTAGAGACAAGGAGAGAAGGGGTTGGGGTACTTGCCCCTTCCCCAGAAAAGCAAAGAAGGGGTAGAAACAAGGAGAGAAGGGGTTGGGGTACTTGCCCCTTCCCCAGAAAAGCGGGACTTGCCGCTAAGGGTGAAGGACCAAGGCAGGCGTCCCTGCGTGGTCTGACACCTTTGAAACGTGGGTGAATAATCAGAGGCGTCCCTGCATGATTAAACACCAAGGGAAGGCTGCCTTCCCAGTCCGTGACCGGCGCCAGAGTTTTCGGTCCATGGATAAAACGTGTCTCCTTTGTCTCTCCCAGAAAATGAAAGGAATTGAAATTAAGAGAAGGGAGAGATTGAAGAGTGGAAAGGAGAAAGTGGTTGAGGGACAGTGAGAGAGGTTGGAGAAGACAGTAAGAAGAGGCCGCTTACCTGATTTAAAATTGGTGAGATGTTCCTTGGGCTGGTCGGTCTGAGGACCTGAGGTCATAGGTGGATCTTTCTCATGGAGCAAAGAACAGGAGTACAGGGGATTGATCTCCCAAGGGAGGTCCCCCGATCCAAGTCACGGCACCAAATTTCATGAGCATCCATGTGAAGAGACCACCAAACAGGCTTTGTGTGAGCAATAAAGCTGTTTATTTCACCTGGGTGCAGGTGGGCTGAGTCCGAAAAGAGAGTCAGCGAAGGGAGATAGGGGTGGGGCCGTTTTATAGGATTTGGGAAGGTAATGGAAAATTACAGTCAAAGGGGGTTGTTCTCTGGTGGGCAGGGGCGGGGGTCACAAGGTGCTCAGTGGAGGAGCTTCTGAGCCAGAAGAAGGAAATTCACAAGGTTAATCACTCAGTTAAGTTGGGGTAGGAACAAATCACAGTGGTGGAATGTCATCAGTTAAGGCGGGGCAGGGCCTTTTGACTTCTTTTGTGATTCTTCAGTTACTTCAGGCCATCTGGGCCTATAAGTGCAAGTCACAGGGGATGCGATGGCTTGGCTTGGGCTCAGAGGCCTGACACCTCCCACAGCATGTGGGGATTATGGGAACTACAAATGAAAATGAGATTTGGGTGGGGACACAGCCAAACTGTATCAGTTGTTTTCTGTTTAGCCCTCAGAGGGGAAACCTAATGGCAGTTAGGGCGGGAGGGGGATATGGGGGGTATAAGGAAATGTATCTGACGTCCCTTCCTAGGCCGGGAAGTCAAGATTTCCAGGTTGCTCTGGGGTTCTCTTGGCCAGGAGAATTTCTGTTCAGGTTGAGGGACTTAAGATTGCATTTTTGTTTCTGATTGATTACAATATCCTTAAGGGGAAGGAATATGTCTTTTTTGAGAGGTGATATTTAGTATGTGTTTAAGAGCATAGGTCTGGAGCAGACTTCCTGGGCTAATCCTGGTTTGAACATTCAATGAATATGTGGCTTGAGGCAAATTATTCAGCTTCTCTATGCCTCAGTTTCCCCATCTGTAAAATTTGCTCAATAATAAAATCCGGTTGGGATTCACATGTCTCTGTAACATGGCGACAGGTGACTGGGTTGAGTGGACAGATTCTCAGCTCTGCTCTGGCTTGTGTGATCTGTCAACCAACTAATGGCTTATTGTCAACATATATCCTTCATGTCAGATGCATTCTTTTGTCAGCAGTGTCCTAACTTGAGTTACATTTTTCCAGGAACTAGAAGGTATCTCGGTGCCACCTTTTCCTTTTACTAAGGGGGAATGAAGATCCCTGAAGGGAAAGTGTCTCCCAAGTTTCAGGGACATGATGGTGGCCTCTCTAGAACATATTCCAATGTTCCTACCCAAGAAATGAGTCAGTCAGTGTTCACTTTCTTGGGAATTACGCAGGTATTTGAAGCATCTTAGTTATTGAATGGCTAGCACATTTTTCATTATAACTTCCTGGGGGTAGATACTGAATTTCAGTGAAACCTCTCCTCAGGTGACAGAAGCTAATGAATAAAAATGGTGTCTTAGCCGCTGGGAGATTGGGCATGCTTTATGATGCAAATCTGTTTTCTATGAAGTATTTGAAAGAAGGCCATTAAATAAAAAAAATCTGCCTGCTCTAACTGCTTCAATTCCTTAAGCTGAAGTAGCATTATATACTAAAAACAGTCCAATCTTCAAAGACAAAAGTATTTTGTTTTAAATTCCAATTTCACCATTTGTTAGCTGTGTAACTTTGTGCATGTGCATAGCATAGTCCGAACCTCACTTTCTGGAACTGTAAAATAGGGCTGTTAAAAGAAAATCTTTGGTCAAATTAAATTTAGCAGAGTGTAATTGAGAAAAGAATGTTCCATGAAGTGGGCAGCATTAAGATCCACAAGATGTTTAGAGAGTTCCCATCCATAGATCTCAGGCGGAAAGGATTTATGGATAGAAAACAGAAGTGAGGTACAGAGATTGCTCAACTGGTTATAGGTTTGCCTTAATTGAACATGGTTTGATCACTTGGCCTCCTGTGAGTGACTGAAGATCGGCTACTGTGATTGGCTGAGACTTATCTATTTGTTACAAAAGTATACTCCTAAATTAGGCGTACAGTTATTTTGTGTAGTAAGTTAGGTTGCAGTTTGTTGTACTCAATGTATGGAGGCATCCCCTGGCCAAATTTAGTTCAGTTTAACAGAAGTCATAATCACTAACAGAATTATTGTGGCACCACATTAAAAAAGGAGTATAAAATATTATATTTGAGAAAGTTATTATTTATATAGTATATAAAACATCCTAATTTAATGAGTAAGGGTTTAATTAGGGCAAATCAGCAAATAAAGGTAAAGCAGAGAATAATACTGAATTGACATCTCTAGTGCATGGTGGCTAGGAAGTAAACACTCTAAAATTATTAGCCTTGTTCTTTCCATATTTAATAAATATTCATCGAGTGATCAATACCTGGCCACTCTGTGCCAGGTAGTCAAATATGGGCATAATAGGATGCCAAACATTAATCAGAGGCAGAATATAATTTTCTTTTCTTCTTTTTTGAGACAGCCTTGCTCTGTCGCCCAGGCTGGAGTACAGTGGCATGATCTTGGCTCACTGCTTGCTGGGTTCAAGCAATTCTCAGGCCTCAGCCACGGGTGTGGCTGGGATTACAGGCATGCACCACCACGCCCAGCTAATTATTGAATTTTTTTGTAGAGACAGGGTTTTTCCACCTTGGCTAGGCTGGTCTTGAACTCCTGGCCTCAGTGATCCACCTGTATCGGCCTCCCAAAGTGCTGGGATTACAGGTGTGAGCCACTGTGCCCGGACCAGAATAGATTTTTTTGTAGTCCCAAGCGCTACCTTTATCAGCTCTTTTTTGACAATGTTGTTTTGCTCAGACATTAATTACCAATTAGTAGCCTCTGAAATCAGTCACTGAGATGGCAACTAAGTCTCCTCTTTTCACCAGCACCTGCCTGTATATCTTTTTCTTGTCTTCAAGGGTCCCATGTGAGACATTGTCACATGTTTGGTGTGGATCAGACCCATTTATTTACTGCCTTTCCCTAATTTAATGTTGTCGCTTGTCATCAGTGGTCCTGCAGTGGCTCCCTGTGATTGCAGCTTTACTTTCTGGGTGCTCACAAACCATGTCTTTAACAACGTACAGAACCCTAAGTAAATATCAAACTCTAAGAAATACTTTGCATCATGTACTTGTTCCTCCATTTTGAACACCTAGATGGCATTCGGTCTTTCAACTGATATCTGGAGCTTATCTCAAAGATGTCCACAAAATGTTACTCATCCTCTCTCTTCTATTTCATGAAAGTTTCAGATATCTTTGGCAACTGTTTAGCTCTCTGATTTGCCAATTCTCTTACTATGTCCTAAGAAACTTGAAATATTTCAAGGCAGCTGGGGGCTCTCTAAAATCTCCCCACTCACCTATGGTCTCAGATCCCCATATCTATTTTTGTGGCCCTTTAATCACTTATTGCTCATTTTTCTTTATTAAAAAGACAATTGCACATTGATAGGCAAGTTTTCTACACTGCCTGAAGGATCCACCCTGGAAATCTGACCACTCTTTTGCTCCTAATAGAAAGTAAAAAGCCTCATTGATCATCCTTATCAATTTTTGAAGCATTCTTTCCAATTTCTTTCAGATGGGGCTCAAGACATGCTACCCTAAAATGTGACTCCTTGGCATTTGAGAAAACCACAGAAGGAGCATGACTCCCTGCCCTTCTCCCCTGAAGCAGGCCATAAAACCTAGAAAATAATTTCTGATCTTCTCCTTCAGTAGATCAAAAGATTCACATGTGAGAGGCCCTCACCCTATACCCAGAGAAAAGGAACCTCCTCCATGCTGGAGACACAGAAACACAAAGGAGAATCTGAACAAGCTGGCCTTGCTAAGTTCCCCCCAGTTCACTATCATTAAATTATACCCCCTTTTCCAATCATACTTCACAACCATTCCCCTTACATAGCAATCTACCTAATGGAATCAGAGGCTCAAGTGAAGAAAATAAGCTTAGCAATTTACTTGAATTTTAAATTCTAAAACTTTAATAATTCTTCTTTAGGGTTTGAATGAAAAACTTCAGTTACAGGAAAAAGCCAGTATTTAATGGCTCCAGTGTATTAGAGCTTCTTTTCTTAAAGTAAAGGGGTTTAAAAGTCAAGTGCTACACACTGGGAGGAAAATACATGCATACGAAAGAGCTCTTAAAGGTATCCTCAGGTCAGCAAACTTTGTGATTAAAATTGCCACTGTCAAGTGAAAAGTTTTTAATGAAAGAATCCTGTCTCACAGTTCCTGTGATCAAAATCTTTCTATCTTGATGCATTCTCATTGCCAGCATGTCATCAGCTCTAGTCTAATAAGTACTCTTTTCTCCTATCACCTTTGCAATCAGCTTCTCTTGTGGCAGAAGGCAGAGGCAAAATGAGGGACTGGCACATCCTCAAAACTCCCTCCCCTTTCTTGAAAATATTTCTATCTCTAGATTCTCCTGTTCTCTCACTCAACCGCTCACTCAGCCACTAATTAAAACACTCATTAATTTATTATTTAATTAATAATGTAAATATTTACTGGATTCCAGATGCTGGTTTTGCGGCTTGGGGGGCATCTCAGAACCTGCCGACATGTGATGTCTCCCCTGGACAGCCAGCTTTAAAATTTCTCTCTTTTGTAGTCTTTCCCTTTATTTCTTAGACCGGCTGACACTTACGGAAATAGAAAAGAACCCATGTGAAATAACATTGAAATAACATTGAATTATCAGGGGTGGGTTCCCCCGCTAAGTCCCAATATCAGTCTTTTTTTCTTCAGTTGCAAGATTTAATAGAGTGAAATAGAGTGAAAACAGAGCTTCCATACAAAGGGAGGGGACCCAAAGTGGGTTGCTGTTGCTGGCTCGAATGCCTGGGTTTATGTCCTGATCATTGTCCCTCCCGCTGTGCTCTCAGGCAATAGATGATTGGCTATTTCTTTACCTCCTGTTTTTGCCTAATTAGTATTTTAGTGAGCTCTCTGATCGGTTGGGTGTGAGCTAAGTTGCAAGCCCCGTGTTTAAAGGTAGATGCGGTCACCTTCCCAGCTAGGCTTAGGGATTCTTAGTCGGCCTAGGAAATCCAGCTAGTCCTGTCTCTCAGTCCCCGCTCTCAACAGGAAAACCCAAGTGCTGTTGGGGAGGTTTGCCGATGACCGCTCTAACTGCTTCCTGCTGAATTGGGGCATAGTAGGGGTTGTGCAGTTGAGATTTCCTCAGGAGGGGTGCCAATATCAGTTTTAATCTCAATAATCTCATTTTATGTGATTATGAAATATATTGAATTCAGAGCATCTCCAAAACAGCCCATAAGGTCAGAACTTCTAGATATGACAGAGTGAAGAAGACTTTAAAAAAAGAAAAAAGAAACATGTTGGGTGCAGTGGCTCACGCCTGTAATCCCAGCACTTTGGGAGGCTGAGTCAGGCAGATTGCTTGAGCCCAGGAGTTTATGACCAGCCTGGGTAACATGGCAAAACTCCATCTCTACAAAAAGTACACACACACAAAAATTAGCCAGGTGTGGTGGCCTGCACCTGTGGTCCCAGCTACCTGGGAGGTTGATGTTGCAGTGAGCTGAGACTGTGCCACTGTACTCCAGCCTGGGTGACAGAATTACATCTTATCTCAAAAAAAGAAAAAAAAAAAGAATTCAATGTGTTGTATGTTGTTTGTATGTTGACCAAAGTGGAAAAACAAATTAGCTAAGAAATCATTCCAAGACCCATGCTTTGAAGATTTTCCCGCATGTTTTCTTCTAGAACTTTTGCAACTTTAGGTCTCATATTTAAGTCTTTGATCCATTTTGAGTTGATTTTCATGAGTGTTATAAGATAAGGGCCCAATTTCATTATTTTGTATATAGATATCCAGTTTTCCTAATACTATTTGTTGCGGAGACTACACTTTTTTCATTGTAAAATCTTGGTACCCTTGCTGAGTATCATTTGGTACATTGGGTTTGTTTTTGGCTCTCTATTCTGTTCCATTAGTCTATATGTCTGTCTTTATATCAGCACCATACTGTTTTGATTACCATAGTTTTGTAAAAGTTAGGAAGTATGAGGCTGCCAGTTTGTTATTCTTTCTGTAAATTGTTTTGGCTATTCAAGGTCCTTTGTGATTCCATGTAAATTTTAGGATTGTTTTTACTATTTCTGCAAAAAATGCTGTAGGGATTTTCATAGAGATTATTTTAAATCTGTACATTGGTGTGGGTACTATGGCTATATTAATAATATGAAGTCTTCCAAACCATGAACATGGATGCCTTTTTATTTATGTCCTGTTTAAATAATTTTCAGCAACATTTTATAGTTTTCAACATACAAGTTTTTTGCCTTTTTGGTTAAATTTATTCCTAAGTATTTTAGCCTTTTTGATGCTACTGTAAACGGGCTTATTCTCTTAACTTACTTTCAGTTTATTTGCTGTTGGTGTATAGAAACACAACTTATTTTTTGTGCTTTGATTTCCTGGATGTGACACCAAAGGGACAGGCAACAAAAGCAAAAGTAGACAAGTGGGACTACATCAACTAAAAAGCTTTGGCACAACAAAGGAAATAGTCAACAGAATTAAAATGTAACAGTATTAGTCTGTTTTTACCCTGCTGATAAAGACATACCCAAGACTGGGAAGAAAAAGAAGTTTAATGGACTTACAATTTCACATGGCTGGGGAGACCTTACAATCATGGTGGGAGGCAAGAAGGAGCAAGTGACATCTTACATGGATGGTGGCAGGCAAAGAGAGAGTTTGTGCAGGGAAACTCCCATTTTTAAAACCATCAGATTTCATGAGACTTATTCACTATCACAAGAACAGCACAGGAAAGACCCACCCCCATGATTCAATTATCTCCCACTGGGTCCCTCCCACAGCATGCAGGAATTATGGGCACTACAAGATAAGATTTTGGTGGGAACACACAGCCAAACCATATCATTACACCCCTGGTCCCTTCTAAATCTCATGTGCTCACATTTCAAAACCAATCATACCTTCCCAACATTCCCCCAAAGTCTTAACTCATTTCAGCATTAACTCAAAAGTCCACAGTTCAAAGTTTCATCTGAGACAAGGCAAGTCCCTTCTGCCTATGAGCCTGTAAAATCAAAAGCAAGTTAGTTACTTCCTAAATACAATGGGGGTACAGGCATTGGATAAATACAGCCATTCCAAATAGAAGAAATTGGTCAAAACAAAGGCCCCATGCAAGTCCAAAATCCAGAAGGGCAGTCAAATCTTAAAGCTCCAAAATGACCTCCTTTGACTCCATGTCTCACATTCAGGTCATGCTGATACAAGAGATGGGTTCCCATGGTCGTGGGCAGGTCCGCCCCTATGGTTTTGTAGGGAACAGCCTCCCTCCAGGCTGCTTTCATGGAATGGCATTGAGTGTCTGTGGCTTTTCCAGGCATGCAGTGCAAGCTGTTAGTGGATCTACGGTTTTGGGGTCTGGAGGATGGTGGCCCTCTACTCACAGCTCCTGTAGGCAGTGCCTCAGTAGGGACTCTGTGTGGGGGCTCTGATCCCACATTTCCCTTCTGGACTGCCCTAGCAGAGATTCTCCATGAGGGCCCTGCCCTGCAGCAAACTTCTGCATGGACATCCAGGCATTTCTATACATCCTCTGAATTCTAGGCAGAGGTTCCCAAACCCCAATTCTTGACTTCTGTACACTGGCTGGCTCAACACTATGTGGAAGTTGCCAAGGCTTGAAGCTTGTACCCTCTGAAGCCACAGCCTGTGCTCTACATTTGCTCCTTTCAGCCATGGCTGTAGCAGCTGGAATGCAGGGCACCAAGTCCCTAGGCTGCACACAGCATGGGGACCCTGGGCATGGCCCACGAAACCATTTTCCTCCTAGGCCTCCAGGCTTATGATGGGAGGGGCTGCCTTGAAGACCTCTGACATGCCCTGGAAACATTTTCCCCATTGTCTTGGGGATTAATATTTGGCTTCTCATTACTTATACAAATTTCTGCAGCCGGCTTGAATTTCTCCTCAGAAAATAAGATGTTCTTTCTATTACATTGCCAGGCTGCAAATTTTCTGAACTTTTACGCTCTGCTTCCCTTATAAAACTGAACACCTTTAACAACACCCAAGTCACCTGTCCAAGGCTTTGCTGCTTAGGAATTTCTTCCACCAGATACCCTAAATCATCTCTCTCCAGTTCAAAGTTTCACAAATCTCTAGGGCAGGGGCAAAATGCCACCAGTCTCTTTGCTAAAACATAACATGAGTCACTTTTGCTCCAGTTCTCAACAAGTTCCTCATCTGCATCTGAGACCACCTCAGCCTGGATTTCATTGTCCATATCATTATCAGCATTTTGGTCAAATCCATCAAACCACTCTCTAGGGAGTTCCAAACTTTTCCACATTTTTCTCTCTTCTTTTGAGCCCTCCAGACTGTTCCAACCACTGCCTATTACCCAGTTCCAATGTCACTTCCACATTTTCAGGTATCTTTTCAGCAGCACCCCATTTCTGGTACCAATTTAGTGTATTAGTCAATTTTCATGCTACTGATAAAGACATACCCAAGACTGAGAAGAAAAAGAGGTTTAATGGACTTACAGTTCCACATGGCTGGGGAGGCATCACAATCATGGTGGGAGGCAAGGGGCAGCAGGCAAAGAGAAAGAGAGCTTGTGCAGTGAAACTCCTATTCTTAAAACCATCAGATCTCATGAGACTTATTCACTATCACAAGAACAGTATAGGAAAGATCCACCCCCATGATCCAAGTATCTCCCAACCAGGTCCCTCCCACAACAGTGGGAATTATGGGAGCTACAAGATGAGATTTGGGTGGGCACCCAGAGCCAGACCATATTGGCAACTTACTAAATGGTAGAAAATATTTGTGAGCCATATATCTGATAAGAGAGATCAATGTATCCTTTGGGATATGTAATATATTCTTATATTACTGAATTTGGGTATCCCAATATCCAAAATATCCAAGGAACTCCTACATCGTCATGCATGAGTGCACAACACACACATACACACACACATATAATGAGTAATTAAAAAATAGACAAAGGACTTGAATAAATTATTTGTCCAAAGAAGACATACGAGTGGCCAACAGGAATGTAAAAATAATGCTCAACATCACTAATCATCAGGAAAATGTAAATCAAAACTACAATGAGACATCACTTCACACCTCTTAAGATGGACATAAAAAATAATGAAAATGAAACAAAATAACAAATGTTGTCAAGGATGTAGAGAAATTGGAACCCTTGTGAACTGTTGATGAGAATGTAAATGATGCAGCCACTATGGAAAACAATATGAAGCATTCTCAAAAAAGTAAAAATATAATTACCATATAATTTAGCAATCCCACTTCTATCCAAAATAATTGAAACAGAATCCCAAAGAGATATTTGCAAGTTGATGTTCATTGCAACATTATTCACAATAACCAAGATCTGGAAATGACCTAAATGTCCATTGACAGATGAATGGATAAAAGAAAATGTGGCATATGCAGAAAATGGGATATATGCCATATGTATATATTGAGTGCTGAAAGAGAGAAAAAGAAGCAGAAAAAAAAATTTACAGGAATCATGGCTTTAAAATTCCCAAATCTGATAAAAAATATTAATCCACAGATTTAAGAGGCACCATTAACCGCAGGTAAAATAAACACAAGGAGATCCGCACCAAGACATGTCATGGTCGACTGTTGATAAACAAAGACAATGAGAAAATATTGAAGGCAGCAGGAAAAAAATTACTCATTGGACACTAGGGAAAAATGTGATTAATATCTAACTTCTCATCAGAAACTATGAAAAATCAAGACAATGAAATGACATTGCTCAACTGTTGATAGAATAAAAATAAGAACTTCATATTCTTATTCTGAAGGCAAAATCATGATATTTTCAGAATTAAAGACAAAAACAAAATAAAATAAACTAAGAATTTTTTGCTAGCAGTCTTGTCTTATAAGAAATAGTAAAGGAGGTCATTAAGGCAGTAAGGTTATCAGATGGTAATTTAAATCCATAGGGAAAAATGAGGAGTACCTTAAATAATAAATATGTGGATAAACATAAAAGGCTGTATAAATATATTTTTTCTTTTTATTTCTCTTCTTTTTTTAAAAAGAAATAGATTGCATAAGGCAATAATTATAACACTGTATTGTTGGGCTCATCACACATATATGTGCAATATATGTGATAGTATTAGGACAAGGAGGGGAGAGAAAATGAAGTTATACTGGAGCAAAATTGCTGTGTTTAACTGGAATTAGGTCAATATTAACCAGAATTAATTTTTGATAATTTAGGAGGCATATTGTAATCTCTAGAATAACCAATAAAAAGAAAAACCCAAAAATGTAGTTACAAAATCAACTGAAATTTCCACTTTTGGCCAAAATGTAGTAAGTGAGACTAAATTTGTTCTCTCACCTAAAATGACATAGCAGAAGAAAACAAAAAATTAGACCAGTTATATAAAACAATAGTTTTCAAGATACTGGATAATATGCATTGAAAGACAATGACGTCTGAAAGATGGGACACGATTCCGATAAGCTGTACAGCTGTCTCTGCTTCCTGCCTTGGGAGAGTCTCCAGACTATGGCACAGAGAAGGGGAACCCAGGCAGAGTCTGGGGGACTCCATTAGTTAAGGTGAAACTGAGAGTCTAGGGAAATTAAGGCAGATAGAGGTCACAGCACAAAGCTCTGGAAAGCAGAGAAGTAAACAGAAAGACAACCCTGGAGATCTGCAGAGGAGTCTTCTCAAATATTCAGTACAATAGCAATCAATGCAATTATTTAAGGAAACTACCTGAGACTAGAGAAAGAACAATTTAAAAGGATTAGTGATAACAGTGTTCAGCACTCACACGAGGCCAGAAATAATGCTTGGTTTTCACCAATCAGCCTGAGAAACCTCATGATTTATGGGACCCTGGGTAAAGTACCTAGAGTACTCTGGTTTCGGCTAACCAATCTTTAAAACAAGAATCAAAAAACGGAACTGTTCCTGAATAACCTAACTGAATCCCAGAACAAAACTCAAGAATATTTATAAGGATGCAAAAATATTGATCACCCAAGAAGGTAAAATACATAATGTCTAAAATCCAATAAAAAATTAAAAGATACAAAGAGAAGCAAGAAAATATGACCATCATGAGGAAAAAAGAAATCAATTGAAACTATCCCAGAACAGACACAACATCAGAATTAGAAGTGAAGAACGTTAAGCAATTATTATAACAGTATTCTATTTAAGAGTTACGTAGAGCAACGGATGATAAAAACCAACCAAATCAAATGTCTAAAGATGAAAACTACAATGCTTTAGATACAAAATGTACAAAATGGGATTAATAACAGACTAGATATTGCAGAAGTTAATGCTAATGATTTTGAAGACATGGCAGTAAAACTACCCACAATAAAACATGGAGGGAAAAAATAATTGCAAAAAAATTAAAGGGCTCATTTAATGCAAAAGAAAGCAGTAGAAGAGAAACAGAGGAATAAAAAAGACATGAGAAATGCAGAAAACAAAAAATAAAATGAGGGACATAATTCCAACTATATCAATAATAACATTAAATGTAAACTGATTAACTAATTCAATAAAAAAGCAGAAATTGTCAGTCAGACTGAATAAAAGAACATGAACCAACTCTATGCTATCTACAGGAGGCAGACCTGAGATTGGAAAATACAAAATAGATTGAAAGTAATAGGATGGGAACGAAAAGCTGGAGATCATGGGTGAGCAGGACAACTCTTCAAGGAGGTCTGAAACGGCTGGAGATGGCAAGGAAAGCACTTTGATTTAGGTTTCTTATCGTGATTATGAAGTGGGGCCGGGATAATACCTCCCATGTGTGGGCACCTATGTCAGTCATTTGGAAAATGTAAAATAAAATCACAATGAGATACCACTTTACAACCACTAGAATGGCTATAATGAAGAAGGCTGACAATATCTATCAATTGTTGGCAAAGACGTAGAGAAAGGGAAATACTCTTACATTTCTGCTAAAAATGTAAAATGATATATAGCCATTTTGAAAAACAGTTTTATAGTTTCTTAAAAACTAAGCTGACACACACCATCTGATTCAGTTGTTCCACTCTTAGATATCTACCCAAAAGAAATAAAAACGTATTCCCACAAAGATTTGTATACAAATAAATATTCATAGCATTTTTTCATGATAATGAAAAACTGGAAACAATTCAAAAGTCCATCAGCTGGTGAATAGATAAACAAAATGTGGTATATCCATGCACTCAAATACTACTCAGAAATAAGAAGGAATGAACTGTTGATACATGCTCCAGCATGGGTGATCCTGAAAAACACTGTAAGTGAAAGATTCCAGACACAGGAAACATCAGATTGTATGATTCCATGTACGTGAGTTTGGGGAAGGGACAAATCTGCAGACACAGAATTCAGGGCAGTTGTTGCGTGGGCAGCAGGTAGACACAGAGATTGACGGCAAGTGGACAAGAGGCAACCTTTTGGAGTGATGGAAGTGTTCAAAAGCTGGATTGTGATGATTGTACAATGCTATATATTTACTAAATATCATCATCAATGCACGCTTATCCTGTGGCATGTAAATTATACCTGAACAAAGCTGTTTTTACAAAGCCTACACAGTGAAAAAACTCTTTTATCTGTGTATACGTTGGGGCTTTTTAATGCAGCCACATCACTGTCATGCATGTTCAACACCTGTAGGTAATAACTTGCTCCAGATCCCATGTGTCTTCTTACTCATTCGTTATCCCATCTTTTCTGTTCCAGCAACTTGAGTCACAGTGAAAGTCAAGGGTTAACAAACACAGAAATTACTGCCTCTGTTTAATAATCAAATATCTTTTTTTGTTTTTGAACAGAAGGGCTTTCTGTAAAGGAGAATTCAAACAAAATTTTTATAATAAAAGACTACAAATATGTTTTCAAAAGATCTGACAATTTTTTTCTTTTGCTTAAGGAATTAAGGCCTAAACAGTAAGGCCTTATTATTATTCAAGAGGAATAATAGAAAAAAAGTGTTTCTATGTGATTTTCCATTATGTTAGGTAGGTAATGGAAGATGAAAGAGAAGGAAGTCAGTTTTGCCTGACCCTGAGGTTTCCAGGGCTGCTGAGCTATCATAACCAGTGATGCCCCACACAGCTACTGCTCCCAGAACAGGTCAAGATGCTGCTCAGTTAGATTGGCACAGAAGGAGAACTGCATCTTGAGATTGGAGAATATTTTCTAGTGTAACTAACCAATTTTAGGAGCTTGAGGTTCCAATTCCAGTACTAATTAATTTTGCCAAAGTCTAAGCTTTTCTAATATGAAACTGGAGGCTATAAAACCACGTTTGTGATGATTTTGTAGCCCAAGATGGATTTGAAAACACAGGAGACATGGCTTCCTGTCCCACTGATACAGTCTTTTGGCAATGGACAGCTAACAACAATCTGGGCTGAACACCCTGAGGAAGGGAAGGCTTTATGAAGAAGAGTTGTACCTTTGGGCACCAGGAAAATGCAGCTTCATTTAATGTGAATTAGAACTATTGGTATGGGTTTGTTTTAACTTTTGATCCGCAGAAATTTCTTATCATTGACATTAAAATAAAAATTTATTAATTATGAAATATTTAAAAACACTAAAATAGAGCCTGTATGTGCTGTCATTTATATATTCAAAACCAAGATTGATGAAGCTGTTAACTCTTTGATATTTTTGCTTCAGATTGTTCTTTTCAAAGCAAATTAAATTAAAGTCTGCCCTCCCTAGACCAAACTTTTCACCCTCCCTCTCCAGAAATTACCATTTTCCTGGAGTTGGTGGGAATGGTTATTATATATTTTTTGTACTTTTACAATGTGTCTACATCTACATATATTTACTGTTGTTTTCAAGTTTTAAAATGTCCATAAATGGCATCTTATTCTGTAAATTTGCATGTGTGAACCATTATTGAAGAAAGTTTCCATGTGCCTCTTCACAGACCATCTTCATTCCTCAAGGTAAAAACTATTCTGATGTTTATCACAATAGATAAGTTTTGCCTGTTTAAAACATTATATAAATAAAATCATCAGTATGTACCTTTTTATGTCTGACTTCTTTTTGTATTTTATAAAAATAAATTGAAAAAGAAGACCTTTGGCCTGAATTTTTTTTATTTTTAAATTTATTATTTACTTATTTATTTAATGAATTTATTTACATTTTGAGACAGGGGCTCACTGCGGTGCCCAGGCTAGAATGCAGTGGTTCAATCACAGCTCGCTGCAGTCTTGACCTCCTGGGCTCATGATTCTCCCACCTCAGCCTCCCAGGTGTGCACCACCAGACCTGGCTAACTTTTTTATTTTTTGTAGAGATGAGGTTTTGACACATTGCTGAGGCTGGTCTCAAGCTCCTGGGCTCAAGCCATCCTCCCATCTCAGCCTCCCAAAGTGCTAGGATTACAGCTGTGAGCCACCGTGCCTGGCCTGTGTCTGGCTTCTTTTGCTGAATGTTTGATCTGTAAGATTCAATCATGTTGTGAGTTGTAGTGGTTCATTCTTACTGCATAATGTATTCTATTGTAAGAGTATGTACAGTGTATGTATCCATTCTACTGTTGTTAGATATTTGTGTGGTTTCCATATGAATAAGTTGCATGTCTTTATAGACATATCCACTTACTCTCTTGAGTGTATAACCAGGAGTGGAACTTTTAGGTCATAGAGTAAGCTTATGTTGCACGTTTGCTGATATTTTCATCACCAATGTCTAAAAGTTCTAGCTGCTCTACGTACTTATCAAAGCATGGTATTGTCTGACATCTTTTTAATTTTAACCATTTTGGTTAATGTGTAGTGGTGTCACATTGTTTTAATTTGCACTTACCTAGTCATTAACTTTGGGCATCTTTTCATGTGCTTGATAGCCACTTGGATGTTCTCTTTCAGGAAGTGCTTAGTAGATTATTTTGCCCCTTAAAAATTGGGTTGTTATGCTTTTTCTTACTGATTTGTAAGGATTTTGAAATAGTTTGGACTCTACTTTTTGTCACTTATATGCCTTACAAATGCCTTCTTCCAATTGGTGGATTATTTTTGCTCCTTTAACTGTGGCTTTTGATGAGCAGAAAGTTTTAATTTTGATTATATCTAATTTATTAGTGTTTTAAGGGCAGTGCTTCTGGTGTCTTGTTTAAAGTGCATATAGTTTACAACTTGATTTTTCATCTAACATTGCATGCTTTTCTGTTTTGAAAAAGTATTTAATTGATGAAAAAAGGTTATATATATTCAAGGTATACACGATGATTTGATGTATATATACATCATATAGATAATCAAATTAACGCATCCATCACTACCCATGCTGTGTCATCACTGCACTTTTGAAACATGTTCCTGTTGATAAATTTAATCTAAAATACCCATTTCAAACATATATATAGTATTTATGTTGTACAAATAAATCACAATTAATTTACACATTCTATTGAATAAATGTTGTGCTTTCTCCCATCTTTGTTTTAATTAAAACAAAGTTATGCTCAGTGTGTACAAATATGTCACTTCAAGCTCATATTACTCCAGATTAGATAGTTAGAAGTGAAATTCCTGCAGCAAACTGCTCTGATGGTACTTACCTGCATTCCCACTGACAAAACATAAACGTTCTTCTTTCCTCTCCTCCATGCCAACGCTTGCCGTAACTGATGCTAAATTTTTTCAGTTAATTGGAAATGTAATCACACTTTGATAATAGTGATTATCACCAGGGAAAACATTTCTTCCTTTGCTTATTGGTGATTAAAATGTCTTCTTGAGTTGCTTGTTCTAGTCCTTTGACACATTTTCTATTAGGTCAATAGTGCATCTGTGACAGCATGCACAGAAGGCTTTACTGGTGGTCTTCAGAGCTCCAAGTCTTTCTGAGGACACCCTCCTTCCACGGTAATACCATCATCTGAAGTCTAAAAAGAAGTCTGCTAAATGCTATATGTTAGCTTCATGTTTCCTGTGGCTGCTGTAACAAATTACCACAAACTTACTTGCATTAAACAACAGAAATTTACTTTCTTACAGTTAGAGGCCCAGCTTGAAATGAGTCTGAAAGGTGTCACCAGGCAAGTTCCTTTGGAAGCTCTAGGGGAGAATTTGTGCTCTGGTTTTTCAAGCGTCTGGATATGCCTGCATTCCTTGGCTCGTGACCCCTTTCTTGCATCAGTTGTCTTTCCTCCCTCTGCTTCCAGAGTCACATTGTCTTCTTCTGTAGTAAAATCTCCCTCTGCCTCTCTCTTCAAAGGACTATTGTGATTACATTGGGCCTACCTGGCTAATCCAGGATAATCTCTCCATTTCAAAATCCTTAATTTAATTACATCTGCAAAGTCTGTTTTGCCATACATGGTAACATGCTCAAGTTCCAGGGTTTAGGACCTGGTTTTTCTTGGGAACCATTATTCAGCCTACCACCCCTTCACACTGCTCTCAAGAGTACTTCAGGGAGCTCATAAATCTAGTAAGATTACCATCCACCCACTGACAGTGGTAGTCAAACAGGGCTGATTGCCAAAGAAGATTCACAGGATCTAAAATAATAATGCTGTTCATCCGCAGATTATTGCAGGAAAAGGGTGCAATGGAACCATGATATTAAAGTAAACATATGCTTCCCAGTCAAAGGCTGGCTCACAATTAGGGGTTCAGGGACATTGAGCACAAGCTCTAACTGTCTTGCCTCTGCAGGACCACATCAATGTGTTTTCTCTCAGATCAGGAACCACCAACAGGAGTATTGTATTAGTCAGTTTTCATGCTGCTGATAAAGACATACCTGAGACTGGGCAATTTACAAAAGATGTTTAGTGGACTTACAGTTCCACATGGTTGGGGAGGCCTCACAATCATGGTGGAAGGCAAAGAGGAGCAAGTCACATCTTACATGGATGACAGCAGGCAAAGAGAGAGAGCTTGTACAGTTGAACATCCCTTTTTAAAACCATCAGATCTCGTGAGACTTATTCACTATCAGGTAAACAGCAAGGGCAAGACCTGGCGATTCAATTACCTCCAGGCAAGTCCTTCCCACAACATGTGGGAATTCAAGATGAGATGTGGGTGGGGACACAGCCAAACCATATCATGCATGAAGCATTACAGGAAATTCTTATGATTTTATGATTCCTTGGCATCCATTTTGGATATAAGCTTAACATTCTCATACCAGCACAGGGCTTGGTCACCCTTGACAGTTTCCAGTTCTCTAACTCTTCCCAGTTCCTCAGTGTGGTTGGTCCAGATATCTGCCTTATACAACTGCCTGCTGGTAACCACCTCCATATGAGATAGCTGAATATAACCTAGTTGATGTGGTCACTGACCCCCAACCCCTGCATGGACCATGCGGATATGCCACAGTAACCACCTTGCAGTCACGGCATGACCTCCTGGAACTCATACCCGCTTGCTTTAAACCTAGCAATTAGAACTGAGGGAAATCTCTTTAGGTAATGCCCTGGACCCCTGTAAAGGTTTTGTTTTGGCCCACAGACCCCTAGTTCTCTCTCTCTTACTCTCTACCTGCTGGTTGAAGGTACATGTCCTGGCCCCTCCCCACCTTCTTGTTGATCCTGCGAGGTATGCTGCCCTTTTTTGCTCTGAAGCTGTGAGTAAGAAAACTGCTTTCATTATTCCATGTGATTTGATGTTCAGCATCTTGTGTGTGACTGACACACCGAAACCTACATGTTTTCCAGGTCAGGGGTTTCCTAGAAAGTGGCTATCTTGGTTGATGGCCACTCTGAAGAGAGAGACTTCAAAACCAAATTAGAGGAAAATACAACAAGCACCTTGAAACAAGGGAGGCCAAAATTGAGTCTTGGCTAAGGCTTCTTATACCCTACTGCTTACATAGGCGTACTCTTGCTACATAACCAGCCCCAGTGTCATCAATAAACAATGCTAACAAGCTGGTATAAACTGCCTCGAGTTCCCCTTGGAACCATAATTACAAATAATACTTCTAATTTTATGTCATGATCATGGGCCAGTACCATGAAGATAAAACTTTTACTCAGCAAAATATCTCATGGCTAATCCCAGGCCTACCAAAATGAATCCTCAAATCCCAACCACATTTTGCCATGTGTGACCCCAATAAACAGCCTCAGTGACCATCCCAGGAAGACTCGAAAATTGATCATGCATCTCCCCTAAAAGACCATCAGAAGCAATTTAATATGACTGTTTTCCCACATCAGATCATCCACCATTTCCAGGACTTTGATCTCAAATGGTTTGTATATTCTGTAATGTAACTAAATTTCTCACTCCTTCCCAGAGCTTTTCTCTGCCCTCATAGGAGCTCAGTATGACATCAGTAAATTTGTCTATATTCTAAATATCTTCTAGGAATGTTCTCTTCACTTTCTTATTGTATCTGAAATATAGACATATCTTAAGAACTTTGTCCCTACCCAGCGGTCCTCTCAAGTGGAGGCTATTTTTTTTTCTCTTACAAATTGAAGAGTCTAGAGGTAGGATAAGTTTGTTTTTAAGTTTTCATTGTCACATTTGCTCAATGCTATACTCTCCATACTAAAAAGTTCTAGCTTTAAGTAACTTCTATTTTCATTCTAGTTGCAGTTTTCTTCCCATATCCTGATTAGCCTCACTTTACTTACCCTAACTCTTCCCTCCCTTCCCCACCCTTTTCTTCTCCCTCCTCTCCCTTCTCCACAAACTCACTGTGATCTCATCCAGTACTAAATTTGTATCTTTTTCCAAGACTTCATATCTTCAATTTCCTATATTACATTTCTGCTTAAATCTCTATTGGGCATCTCCAACATTACTTGCTTAAACAGAACTTTTGATGGCACTCCCCACCCCCACCCTGCTATCTCCAAATAAATAACTGTCCTCCCTCAGATTTCCCCATTTTAGAAAGTGCTATTACTACTTAACAAACTCCTTGGGCTGAAAAACCTAGAGTCATCCTCGGTTCCTCATTCTTCATCTCCCACATCTATCAGGAAGCACTGTTTGCTTTATCTCCAAGATACATTCCATAACCACTGCCTTCTCTCCATTACCACTGCTGCTACTGTAGTGAGATCCACCATCTCTCTTCTCTATATTAGTGCAACAGCATTCTAACAATCTTACTATAATGACTTCCACTCTTGACCTCTCAGAATCAATTCTACACATACTTGGCAAAATTACTTTTCTAAAATTAAAATCAGATAAAGCATTCTTCACTTATAATTCTCCAATGGATTCACGTTGCACTCAGAATAAAGCCCAAATGACTTTCTAAGTCCTGTGGGTCACTATATGCACCGATGCCTGTTTAAATTGACCAGGCTCATCGCTTGCTATTTTCCAGTATACTTAGTCCATGGGTTTTCTTGCTGTGCCTTGAATATATCATGTGTGTTTCTGCTTCATAAGCTTTTCATTTGTTTTTCTCTCTTTCTGGGATGTCCTTCCTCTAGAGGTTTGCGCAATTGGATCTCTCATTTCATCTGGGTTTCTGTTTACCTCTTTAGAGAAGACTTTCCCTGCCTGCTCATTAAAAAGACCACTGCCCGACCCCAGCTGACAACAATCCTGATCTACTTTGCTATATTTTCATCACAGCACCAATGAAAAGACTTTATTATGTATGTACTTATATACTCAGTTATTTTTTAATGTGTGCATTTTAAAATTTCTAGAATCTAAGTTCCATCTGAGTAGGATCTTAGTTTTTTCAGGATCTGGAAAGCTTCCTAGCATGTAGTAGATGCTCTATCACCATTTGTCAAAGGAAGCATTAAGAATAGGAATACTTGATAGCTCTATGTTTTCCAAGTAAAAATCCTGTGCTTTTTATTTTAGAGTATATAATTTTTTTCCGTAGTATGTGGTTTTAATTTTCACTTTGATTATGGCATACTTTGAAATATAGAAGGTCTTAATTTTGATGTGGACATATTACCATTTTTGCCACCATGTTTTTTTTGTTTTTTGATGCCATTTAGCAACCCTTCTTCTTTTTAATAACTCCCTGCACTTTGGGTGTATATTTTGGAGCAGTCCCCCTGGGTGCCGCACCTGCTTCTTCTCATAGGATCAGTGCATCAGAGCAAGACTGGTGGTGCTGAGACACATTGAAGTGTTTTCATTGCTTCCAGGATGCCAGAGCCAACTGCCATATGGGCGCTTGCCCTCATACATGCAGCATAAATACACAAATGTCATAGGCAGCAGAGTGTAATAGTAGGTACAATTTATTGAGTACTACCATGGACTGGCCAGTACCTAGATTTCATCATAGCCTTTACAGCACTTTTAGCTGATGGATAATTTTATTACCCCTATTCTGAGGATAAAGGAACTGAAGACAGAGAAGTTAAATGACTTGGTCAAATGTCATGTGGCTAAGAAGAGGAATAGCCAGGTCTTGGGTGACAGAGTTCAAGCTGTTACATACCAAACCATATTGGTTTTCATGGTCCAAAAGTTCAGATCTTGACCCAGACATTTGTTACAGGTAAGTCACTTGTTTTGTTTAGTTTTCTTATTTGAAAAATGGAGATAGTGATCTGTCTGTTATACATCACGAGGTTTTTCTGAGGATCAAACCAAACTAATATAATATGTATGATTGGGCTTTATAACTTGTACTACATAAATGTGAGGTGATTGCTATTATTACAAAAGCACCAAATATAACTACACAGTAAGGTGACCAAATTATAACAAAGGCACTAAAATATATTGTGGTCTGGCTCAAAATCAATACCTGGGAAGGCTGTGTGCTTATTCCAATGATTCTATCTGTCTTCAGTAAACATGTCCTTTTGAGTATTATCTGTGGAGTAGATTGTGTGCTCTATGTTGATGTAAGTTAAAGTTTAACAAATAGCTAAGTGTTATTTAGAGTCAAGTCTGGTGATCAAGTGAGGGAAAGATAGCAGAAAGAAATGAGAAATAACTGAAGTAATGAAATTACCTCCTGTGTAGTGGCTTTTAAATAGGCTCTGAAACCTTTCTCCAAATGTAACTCAAATATTGAATCACGGGGAACTGTTTCCCTCCCCAAAAGGCTAGCTTCTCCAACGTCCGTAAAGTTCAGTGCATGGCCACTTAGTCCAACTTCCCTCTCACTGCAGACATCTTTCTGATGCAGTCAACCACCCTGCACCTCCGTGTGTGTCTCCAGCCTTGTGGGTAAGTCACCTCAAGAAATAGTCTGCTCCACTGCAGGACAGCTCTCATATTTGGAATGGGCTACTTTATATTAATGAAAATTTGTACGCTTGCAAGTTCCACAAATGTCCTGAGTAATTTCATGTGAAGAGACATAGAGTAAGATATTTATGTATTTATATTTATTTACAGATACATAAATATATTAAATTAAAAATAAAACTATAAAACTATATATACTCCATATATGTAGATAATATTCTATATATAATATGTAGTATTACACACACACACACACACACACATATATATGTTCCTTTTTTTTTTTTTTTTTTTTACATGACAGTCCTTCAAAGAGCTGAAGGTGTTCAGGAAAACTTACGGGAGGCCATTGATTTGGACTAAGCCCCTGCACTAGGCTCCAGCAGATCAACCCAAAATGTAGTCACTTGTGCTAATGTTCACATCGTCACCAAGTGAAACCTAAGCTGTTCACTCATAAGATCTGACTTCTTGAGAAATCAGGAGAGAGGTAATAGCCAAATCCCCAAACAGGTCAGTTTTTCCAAAAAACTAAGAGATCCACAGCACCCAATAAAAAAGGGCCTAATCATCCTGAGCTGGCATGCTATGGAGGTCCCCTCTGCTTTAACCCTGCAAGGAAAGTAACCTGAAGTAATCTGTGATTTATCAATCTGCTTTTTTTCCCCCTTGTTTCTGCTTTCTCCAGCCTTTCTCTGCTTATAAAGTCCACTCCCTATGCTCAGCAGATAAAATGCTGTCTGATTCATAATTGCTAATAAAAGCCTATTATGTATGTGAACTCAATTTGTTAAAATTTTGTTCTTTGACCAAAGCAGCCCAAGTTTTTTCATTATTCAATTGAATATCCTCATCTATCTCACCATTTCTTATGTGACTGTATTCTAGATTTTTCTCTGAACCTGCTTCACTTTAAATGTCTGGTACCCAGAACTAGACCCCAGTATCATAGCTATGCAGAGGACTATAGAGCACCTTATTTCTTATTTTTTTTTTTAAATTATACTTTAAGTTCTGGGATACATGTGCAGAATGTGCAGGTTTGTTACATGGGTATGCACATGCCATGGTGGTTTGCTGCACCCATCAACCCGACATCTACATTAGGTATTTCTCCTAATACTATCCCTCCCCTAGCCCCCACCCCCTGACAGGTCCTGGTGTGTGATGTTCCCTTCCCTGTGTCTATGTGTCCTCATTGTTCAGCTCCCATTTATGAGTGAGAACATGTGGTGTTTGGTTTCCTGTTCCTGTGTTAGTTTGCTGAGAATGATGGTTTCCAGCTTCATCCATGTCCCTGCAAAGGACATGAACTCATCCTTTTATAAGGCTGCATAGTATTCCATGGTGTATATGTGTCACATTTTCTTTATCCAGTCTATCATTGGTGGCATTTGGGTTGGTTCCAAGTCTTTGCTATTGTGAATAGTACTTCAATAAACATACGTGTGCATGTATCTTTATAGTAGAATGATTTATAATAATTTGGGTATATATCCAGTAATGGGATTGCTGGGTCAAATGGTATTTCTGGTTCTAGATCCTTGAAGAATCACCACACTGTCTTCCACAGTGGTTGAACTAATTTATACTCCCACCAACAGTGTAAAAGCATTCCTATTTCTCCACATCCTTTCCAGCATCTGTTGTTTCCCGACTTTTTCATGATCACCATTCTAACTGGCATGAGATGGTATCTCATTGTGGCTTTGATTTGCATTTCTCTAATGACCAGTAATGATGAGCTTTTTTTCATATGTTTGTTGGCTGCATAAATGTCTTCTTTTGAGAAGAGACCACCTTATTTCTATTTATGTCTTCATTTTGTTGGAAATGACAATTGTCACTTTGCTGGTTCCTCAAAATTAATGGAAAATCATTGGATAGAAAAGAAAATTACAGGAAAAGATAACAAATGCAAAGACTCAAAGTTGTTGTAGTGCATACATGTGCAACAAATTACTCTAAGTTTGGTGTAATTTTTGTATGTTTGAAATTCCAAATTGGTTAGAAATTGTGGCTTTCAGGAAAAGTGAATTGCCTGAGGACAATTTAGCTCACACTGGGCAACTATTTCTCCTCCCTCAGCTGTCTTCACTGTGTTGGGCTCTTTTGGATATTTTTATCAGGGATAAAAAATATATACATATTTCTTAGATAATGTATATTCTTCTTCTATTGGAAATAGCTCAACAGTGAGTGTGGGATACGAAATAGTTTGTCTTCAAGATCCTGTGGTCATTCCACGACACTGTTCTTCCCAATTTTACAGTTTGTCTTTTTCCTAAAATTCCAATAGCAACATATACGTCTCTTCTATCACAAGGAACTTCATATCAGCTGAAAGAGAAAAAGTAAATTCAATTTTCTATAAAAATTCTGTTTTTTCCACTGCTGTGATGCTTGATCAAAATATCATTTGCAAAGTGTCTGATCAGTATTAATGTTTAACACATCTGAAGTAAAATAATAGAGAAGGAGACAAATGTGCCCTGATTATAACTTTCCTTTTGGTAAAAGCCTATTGCAAGAATTATTTAATCTCTAAAATTATTAACTAAAAAAAAAAAAGACTGACTCTGAGTCTAAGAAGAAATGAAATTTTTGCTTGTTTTGTAAAGAAAATTGCCAGATTAATTCATCATTATGTTATGTACCAATTAAAGTAGATATTAGTTTTAGATATTAATTATGAAGTAGCCAGTGCTACTGTAATTATAGTTGGCATTTATGTCAGGCATTAAATTATACTCAGTATTGTTTGAGAATAAAAAACAACTAAAATTATATTTAAGAAATATCTTACACAGTATAAGAGAAAATAAGAGGAATCAGAAATGTCTTTTGGGAGTTTGTACAGCTTAGAAATTATGAGCATGGGTTTTGAATTCAGACCTGGCATAAAATCACAACTCTACCATTTTCTAGGGAGACCTTGGGCAACATGTCACTCTAAGCTTTAGTTTTCTCAGCGGCATCAGAGGAGGGATAACAACAGAACCCATCTCACTGAATAGTTATAAGTCTTTAATAAGAGATTGCATGCCCAATCCCTAAGCCAACAGAAATCTTTCACGTTGTAGCAAAGATTCCCTCTTTTAAACATTTTTTACTATCCTCTGCTGGAAAATTTTTATAACTATATAAATCTATAAGGACTGTAATATCCCTTGGAGTTATGTAATGCATAACTTGCCCATTCCAGAAGCTAAACTTCTTGTAAAGTGCTTGCTGCACAGTACCCAGCCTGTGGCAATTTCCCTGTATGTGCAGGTGACTTCTATTGTTCAATTCTGGGCCTCCCCAGTCATAGGTCATTGGACTAGATAGGCCTTTGTCTCCAGTCATGGCTTGGGTGGCACTTTTGTTGCAGATGAACAAAGAGGTTTGCTGTAGTCGTAGAAAGGGAAGAATAGCTGGAAAGAGTGAATCACGATAATCACTGTAGTGTGCAGTGTTTATTTAAGATGAGAAGATAGGGACAGTGATGAGAATCTTTGCCTTCATTACCACATGGGATTTTAAGATAAAAAACATACAGAACTTGAACATTTAATTATTGGAAAGTGAACAGAAACAGGAAACTGAAAATGCTTTTGGAAAATTTTATTTAAATTATAATGGGTTGTCAAGGGAAACTAATGGGCCTGAATTATCAGACAATAGGAACATTTTCGTTTAGTGCTGCCAAGCATATTATATGTCAGGAATGGTGCTAAGTGCTTTCCATACAAGGTATGCATTATCTTACTTGCACCCATAACCTGTTTTTCCTCAAGTCTTCTTCTCAGTAAATGGCCATATTATCCACTAAAGCAGGATTTGGGGTGCAGCCTAGAATTCTCTCTTTCATTTACCCCTGGTACCCAATCTTTCATCAAGTTCTGTTTATCCTGTACCCAAAAGACCTGCCTGTCTTATATTCAAAATACTGTATATGAAAAACATGAGCATCTCTCTCCTCCGGTGCTACTGTCCTAGCTCATGGCCCTACCTTCTCTTTCTAATCTGATATGATTTGCCTCCTAACTCATCTTTCCACTGTTATTCTTGCTCCTCTGCTGTTCATACTCCAGACAGAAGCTACATTATTAAAAAATGTAAGTCAGATAAAGTCATTCTCAGGCTTGATACTTCTTACAGCCTTGTTTTGCCCTTACAATAAAATGCATACTCTTCTAGGATCTAAAGGCCTGCATGGTCTGACTTTGACTCCTTTCTATAACTCACCTCGTGCTTCTTCTCCTTGCCCCCTGCTCTTCAGTACCCTGGACCTTGTCTGGAACTCACTATTCCTAGGGCCTTGGTGTACACCATTCTCCCTGCCTGAATCTGTCTTTCCTCAGTGATGCCTCCTCACACCTAAGGTTTCAGATTCAATGACATCTAAGAGGATTTTCATGACCCTACTATCTAAAGTAGTCCTTCCAATTATTTTCTATCAAAACCTTTTAGAATTTTGTTCAGAGCATTACAGCATTTATTTGTTGCCTTTTTCTTTATGTATTTCCCATCTGGAAGGTAAATTCCTAAAAGATAGGGATCTTGTGTCTGCACCTAAGCTCCTAGCAGGGCGCCTGGTGTAGAGGATGCAACTTGTGTCTATTTGTAGAATTAATAAATGAGCATTTCTTTATAACTTTCTTGTAACATAAATATTACTATACTGATGCCAAGGGATTGGTCTAGGTCTTGTTGCTTGCCACACAGGAAGCCAATCATGGAGACAGTGAGTATCGCCAGGGAAGAAAAACTTTAATTGGAAGACATTAGCTGAGAAGACCAGAGAAAAGCCTTAAATCTGTCTCCTCAACTAACTAAAATTTGGAGTTTATATAGTGGGGAAGGAATGTAGCTATGCAGGAAAACAGGAATTAGTGAGAGGTAAGGAAGCAATCATGACAAATGAGGGGTTTGGCATTTCATTGTCTGGATGTGGTGATCTGGTGAGTTTCAGTTCCTTTATACTATCTGGGAGGCCAGAGGGTCAGTTTCCTGAAAAAGGGACTCAGATAAGACAAATATAAATTTCAAGCTTTAAGACTAGGAGGGTCAATTACAATGTTGATTCAAAAAGACCTTAAATATCAGCTGTATGGGACAATTTGGCTGGTTTTATCATGTTCCCAATTTTGCAAATGAGAACTTAGAGAGACTAGCAAGTGAAGGTCCAGGAAGCATCGGTCTGACTTTTCAAACTTTTAAGCTTTTATCCACGATTCTGTTCTTCATAAATAACTTGGTGATGGTGGTGGTGTGTATCTGTATGCATGCTTGTGTTTTAGTGTATGTGTTTCATAGAGAGTCACCAGAGAAAATAACACTAGTTTGCCACATTATTAACTATAGAATGACCTGACATTTTGACATTTATCCCCCAAATGGAATTAAATATAACTAAAATATACATTTATATGAAATAAAATTATATAAAGGCTGAGATTAAACCCCATGCATTTTTACAAAGGAATCCTGAGGGAATCAGACTCTGTGGCATTTTTCATCCTTTAGGCAATCTTGAAATCCGAGTCTAATTTTTACAAACCTTAAGGTTTCAGTTATTTTGATGTGTTTATCTCTTTTAGTAGTGCACTTATTTCTAGGTAGTTTTGGTTGTTGTTATTTGCTTTAATAAGTATCTTTTCATTTCACTTATGCACTATTTTATCTCAAAATGCAGCCTTTTTCTTAATATCTTCCTCCTTTCCTTCTTTCCTTTTTTCTTTCTTCCTTTCCTCTCTTCTTCCTTTCCTCTCTTCTTCCTTCCATCCTTCCTTCCTTCTTCTATCTCTCCTTTCTTCCTTTCTTCTTTCTAGAATAATAGATGGAGCATGTGCTGTGTGCTAGTCTGTTAGGTATAAGATGCCAGACATGCCTGAAAGTATTGATGTATTTGGTGTTCTTTTTGTTGTAGCTGCTGCTGCAGTGGAGTATCCAAGGCTCTCCTCCTCTAATGCAAAAACATTCACAGGTGATACTAACAAGGTGCATTTTTTTCATATAAAGGCCAAAACTGTTTTCTGACTTTGTCAATACAAAAATCTATATTATGAAATATTTGATTTATATGAGAAAAAGTTTGTGGTCCTAAGGATTCTGGGAAGGAGTGAGTGATGATATTGATTCATCCAGCTTGGTTTACCTGTTCTAACTTGCAAAGATAGAAAATACCTCCAATTCTACTAGCAGTAAGGAGGAAAATAGTCCTGACTAACTGCAGTAGAATTACAAATCCATTGTTAAAGTTTCAAATATGTACAGGCATACCTCAGAAATATTGGGGATTGGGTTCCAGAACATGACAGCGAAGCAAATTTTGCAATAAAGGAAGTCACATGAATTTTTTTGGTTTCCCAGTACATGCAAAAGTTATGTTTACACTATACTATAGTCTTTGAGGTGTGAAATAATATTATCTATAAAAACAATGCATGTATCTTAATTAATAAACACTTTAATGCTAAAAATGCGAACAATCATCTGAGTCTTCAGCAAGTTTTTATCTTTTTGCTGGTGGAGGATCTTGCCTCAATGGTCATGGCTGCTGACTAACCAGGGTGGCTGTTGCTAAAGATTGGGACAGCTGTGGCAATTTATTAAAAAGACAACAATGAAGTTTGACAAATGGATTGACTCTTCCTTTCACAAAAGATTTCTCTAGAGCATGTCATGCTGTTTGATAGCATTTTACCCACAGTTGAACTTCTTTCAAAATTGGAGTCAATTCACTCAAATAATGTTGTTGCTTTATCAATTAAGTTTACATAATATTCTATATCTTTTGATATCTCCTGTGAACATATCAACAATATTAACAATACCTTCATCCAGAGTAGCTTCCAGCTCGAGAAAATTTGCTTTGCACATTCATAAGAAGCAACTTCTCATCTGTTAAAGCTTTATCATGAGATTGCAACAATCAATTCGCATATTTAGACTCTACTTCTAATTTTAGTTCTCTTGATATTTCTACCCCATCTGCAATTACTTCTTCCACTGAAGTCTTTATCACCTCAAAGTCATCCATGAGGGTTGGAATCAACTTCTTCCAAACTCCTGTTAATGTTGATATTTTTACCTCCTCCCACGTATTGCAAATGTTCTTAATGGCATCTAGAATGGTGAATCCTTTCCATAAGGTTTTCAATTTACTTTGCTCAGATCCATGAGAGGAATACCTATGTATGGCAGCTATAGCCTTATAAAATGTGTTTCTTATGTAATATGACTTGCAAGTTGAAATTACTCCTTGATCCATGGACTGCAGAATGGATCTTCTGTTAGCAGGCATGAAAACAACATTAATCTCCTTGTAGACCTCTATTGATGCTCTTGGGTGACGAGGTGCATTGTCAATGAGCAGTAATATTTTAAAAAGAATCTTTTTTTTCCTGAGTAGTAGGTCTCAACAGTGAGCTTAAAATGTCCAGTAAACTGATGTAAACAGACGTGCTGTCATCTGAGCTTTGTTGTTCCATTTATAGGGCACAGGCGGAATTTATTTAGCATCATTCTTATGAGCTCTGGGATTTTCCAAATGATAAATGAATATTGGCTTCAACTTAAAGTTACCAGCTGCGTTAGCCCCAAATAAGAGAAACAGCTTGTCCTTTGAAGATTTGAAGCCAGGAATTTGACTCCTCCTTTCTAGCTATATACATCCTAGATAGCATCTTCTTCTAAGAGATGGCTGGTTTTTTTTTCCACTGAAAATATGTTGTTTAGTGTAGCCACTCTCATCAACGATCTCAGCTGAATCTTCTGGAAAACTTGCTGCTCCTTCTCCATCAGCATTTGCTGCTCCGCCTTGTACATTTATGTTATAAAGATGGCTTCTTTCCTTAAATCTAGTGAACCAAACTCGGCTGGCTATAAACTTTTCTCCGGCAGCTTCTTCACCTCTCTCAGCCTTCACAGAATTGAAGAGAGTTAGGACCTTGTTCTGGATTAGGCTTTGGCTTAAGGAAATGTGTAGCGGGTTTCATCTATCCAAACCACTAACACTTTCACCACATCAGCAATAGCCTGTTTCACTTTCTTATTATTCGTGTATTCACTGAAGTAACACTTTTAATTTCCGTCACAAACTTTTCCTTTACATTCACATTTTGGCTTAGCGTTTGGCCTGTCTTATCTTTTGACATGCCTTCCTCACTAATCTTAATCATTGCTAGCTTTTGATTTAAAGGGAGAGACATGACCCTTTCTTTCACTCAAATACTGATTGGCCATTGTAGGATGATGATGATGATGATGATTATTATTATTATTATTATTATTATTATTTGAGATGGAGTCTCGCTCTGTTACCTAGGGTGGAGTGCAGTGATGTGATCTCAGCTCACTGCAACCTCCACCTCCTGGGTTCCCATCTCCCATGCCTGGCTAATTTTTGTATTTTTAGTAGAGACAGGGCTTTGCCATATTGGCCAGGCTGGTCTCAAACTCCTGACCTCAGGCTATCTGCCTGCCTTGGCCTCCCAAAGTGCTTGGATTACAGGAGTGAGTCACTGCACTCAGCTCCATTGTAGGATTATTAACTGGACTGATTTCAATATTGTGTCTCCGGGACTAGAAAGGGGTTGAGGAGAGGGAGAGAGACAGGAAATAGCTGGTTGAATACACACAAGATTTATCAGTTAAGTTTGCTGTCTTGTATGGGCACAGTTCATGGATCCCCAAAACAATTACAATAGTAGTGTCAAAAGTCACTGATCACAAATCATCATAACAGATATAATAATGATAAGAAAGCTTAAAATATTGCAAGAATTATTACAATGTGACACAGAGACACCAGATGAGCATATGCTAATGAAAAAATGACACCCATGGATTTGCTCAATGCAGGGGTGCCACAAACCTTCAATTTGTAAAAAACACAGTACCTGTGAAGTACAATAAAGTGAAGCACAGTGATAGGAGGTGTGCCCGTATTTGCACCATTCCATTCAGGAGCACACACCTTAATCATCTGAGAGGGACCATGGGGGTCATTTTGAGCATAAGTTCATCTTAAGCAGAAAGATGAATGTCAGAATCCACTTCTATGAGTAGTGTGTGTCTTTTAGTTAATATTTAGGAAAATATATTCAACTCTGAGCAGGGCTTATGCTGAAATCAGAGTTTGGAAAGAGAGTGTTTTAAGGCAGATGTCTGCAGAATGGCAATGGGAGGTTGTTGCAGCCCAGTTACAAGATGACCTAACTGCAGTGGGTGTAAGGTGGAATTGCAGACACATCATGATGCTGGCCAGCAACAAGGAGACCTTATCTATAGGCCTAGACCTCCTTTAATATTTCTGAGTGACCTCATTTAGTTAATACCTTTTGTGGATATCTTTAAATGAGGACAATAATCTCTTCATCTCTAATCTGCTTCATGAAGACATGAGATGCTGATTGAGAAAGTGCTTTTTTTTGTTTGGTGAGAAGTGTGTTAACTTCTTTAAATCTCGGTTTCCTGATTTGTAAAACGAGGACTGCACAGTATTTTATAAGATAAAGGGTGCAAAACATTTAAAATTCCTTGTCTCATGCTAAGTGCTCGCTACATATTAAGCATATACATTTCTTACCTTGCCTCTCTCAACTTCTTTGCCCTTTTCCCACAAAGATAACTAAACATGTAATTGTTGACCATGTCCCCGCTTGAAATGACCTGGATGATTAAGGCTTGCCCTGGGGTTCCTGTTCAGGAGTCCACTTCTGGATAATGGTGCACAGCAGTACTAATTCGGTTGTAATGTCCAGGACTCCAGTTCATAGGGAACTCAATATCATCTCACCTGCCCTTGGAAAGTAAGCTCCAGAGATCTGTTCTATTACCTCCCTTTATCAACAAAACATGCCAGATTCAGTGCCACGAGCCAGTAAAGCAATCGGATTTGCTGGAACTTTGCCTTTCTAGGAGCACTTTCATTTTGCTTCAATTGTGTATAGGAAAATTCCCAAGGAGAAGACCACCTTGCTTGCCCCAGTGTCTGATAGCTACTGGGGAAAGTGTTTAGAGTTTAGAATCGGTTTAGCTTCCAACTCCCAGCTCAGCCTCTGAGGCATGGTGTTTCCTGGGCATATCACTGTCTTCTTTCTGGGCTTCAGTTTCTCCAGCTGAAAAATAATAAAGTCAGAGCAGTGTAATCACCTCCTCATATGCAATAACCCTCCCCAAAGACCTTAGCTCAGGACTAGCTCCAGGACAGCGACTGGGGCAGGAGGGGGATGAAATGTACTGGGGGCTGCAGAGGAAAGGCAGAGCAATGGAGGAATTAGAACTTTCGTTTGCTTCCTCCTTAGCTTGCAGGGCTGATTTTTTTATTGTTTTGTTTCATCAAAGAAAGCAGTGAGTCTAGGAGCTAACTGGGCTGTTTTATGACTTTTTGAGACTCTGGGTCCCAGGGAAGCTGCTTCAGGACCACACTGAAAAGTAGGACACAGAGTCGGATGTCAGCCCCTCCCAATCCCTTCCTCCAGGTTCTAGAATGCAGCTCTGACACCTGGAGAGCCCAGGAAGCCCGGGAAGTCCCTGGTAGATGGTGCCAGCAGCCAAGAGAGGTGTTTGCTTCCCTGAAAAGGGACGATTGGAACTACCCTAAGCACATGTGAAACATCCCTGAAGAAACTAAAATAAATATAGAAGGCTTTGAGTCAGGATTCTAATATAATTCAGGTGGAAATTCACAAACATTGTAACCTAGGAACTGGTGTTATCGTCTCTTACTTGTGTACACCTGCTGGTGAGGCCTGGAAATATTCAGGGTACAATTTTTAAAATATTTTATTTTGAATAATTGGAAACAGGCACACAAACAGAATAATATAATGAACCTGCCTCCCTCATACCTCTCTCATATTTAACAGTTAGCAGTGAAGGGTTAACCTTGTTTTATCTATACCCTCATGTGTTTCATTGCCTCCAAGTCATCTTAAAAGCAAATCCAGACATCATATTATTTATTTTTAAATATTTCTGCATATATATGTGAGTGTGTCTATATGTATATACAAACAAATCCAGACATCATATTATTTGTTTTTAAATATTACTGTATATATGTATAAATGTATATATGTATATATGCACATATATATGTAAAAATAAAGACTATATTTTCAATATACCCATAATACTAGAATTGTAGATTTAGCAGATGAAAAACACAGGATATATTGCATGAAATGTACTTATACAAGAAACTTACATGTTGTTTATTTGAAATTCGAGTTTAACTGAATATTCTATATTGGATCTATAATGCCTATAAAATACTTTTACTTTAAGAAATAACAATAATTCCCCAATGTCATCAAATATGCAGTCAATATTCTAATTTCTCATTGTCTCATAATTGATATAAATATTTTGTTTTGCTTATAGATTGTTTTACTCATGATCCAGTGAAGGCCCACACATTACAATTGGTTGATTGAATTTTTAAGTCTTTTTTAATCTGTAGATTCACTACCCATCACTATTTTTTTCCTTTGCAATTTATTTTTTGATGAAACCAGACCATTTGTCCTATGGTTTCCTATTTATTGATTAGATTACCCTGTGATATGTTAAACATAGTTCTCAATTTCATGGCTTCTTTTATAAACCTGCAGCTGGGTTTAGAGGATTAAAATTTAGATTTGAACGTTTATTTTTTTCTAAGAACCTTTCATAAGAGGTGTTGTGTTTTTCATCTGGAGGTGCATAATGTCTGCTGACTGTTTTGTTGTTAGCAGCTTTGAAAAATAATGCCTAGATTCATTAATTAATTAGGAGTTGTAAAATGGTGATACTTTAATTTTTAATTCTATTATTACTTTTCCATTATTAGTTGAACTATTCCTATGAAGAGAAATAATGATACTACCATGTACCAATATGGATGATAAATTTAAAAAAAAAATTTTTTTTAGATTTTTTTCCCTTAAGGTATATCCCACTAGGAAAGTTCAGACAAATTCTTATGTTTTAAAGTTGCATGAAATACTTTCTTGTTAAACACACATTTATCCTACCAACTGGAATCATATTTAGTTCACTCATTCTTTTTAAAAAATATTTAGGGTTAAAATTTTATAAATTTAACTTTTTATTATTATGCAAAGTGTTCTCATTGCTTCAAAATCTAATCTACAAAGCAAGGTATATTCAAGGAAGTCTATGTTTCGTTCCTCTTGCCTCTTTCATTCTACTTTTGTCTTTCTTTCTCCTGTTGTAGGTCATTTTAAAAAATTTATAGTTTATTTTAACACATGTGAACAGATACATCAATATCTTTCTGTCTTTAAGTTACTATTAGAATACTATTCACATGGTTTCTTACCTTTTGTATCAATACTTTCCTTTAAAATAGTTTTTGGAGATCACTACCTAACAAGAACTGCAGATATTTCTCGTTTTCTTCCTGTAATACGACTGGTTTGTTCAATTAGTGCCATTTTGATAGACAAAGATGGAAACTTGTTTCCAGGCTTTTGTTCTCACAGACAGTTCTGTAATAAAGACAGGCTACATAGTTCAGCAATGCTAAGGTCCATTAGGATAAGTCCTTGAAATATTGAACCGCTAATTGCTGATACTGACTGATGATATGTCACACTTGTGTCCTGTCATTTATTCTAACACAGGTTTGGGGGACAATCCAGTCTTAATAAATGCATCTGAGTTTTCCATGTTATAGGATTCTCGTGGCAAAAATAATAAGGGAAGTGAAATAAGAGATAGACTAGAGAACAAAAAGTTATAGAAGTTTTATCAAGTTGTGAATTTTAATACTTACCAAGGAATAATGAAGAATTACCCAACATTTAGAAACAAAAGCTAAAAATCACAGATAAATAATCTATGAATTAAGGGTCATATCACAAAAATTAATAAAATAAGATATAATTTTTATAAAATAAATTTAAAAAGTAACAATAATCATTGGGTCCAGTGTTATACGTGGAGTAAAAAACAAATATTCTATTCACGGCAATTTGAAATAAAATTTCCTACAATATTCCTAGAAGGCAGACTACCAATATTGCTTAAGATTCTTAAAAATATTAATTTAATGTGACTCAAAACTGATGCATTTAAAATTGAATCTGAGTCTTCTGTTTCTGATTCTAACAGAAAATCTTTTGCCAGATCAATCCATCTGCTAAGAAAAAATATAAAAGTGGAACAAAAAATAACTGCTCAATATCATCAGAGAGCAAAGAAAGCAACCATTGGACCAATAATGTGGAGAGAAGGTAAACATTGCATGAGCTAGACCTTCTCTGTCACTTCTCCTTTGGTTACTCACTGATTTTCAATATGGAGCACCAAAGACAAAGAGAAAATCATGGCATAGATCTTTCTGCAGTCTCATTGGGTGGGAGAAACAGAAGTGGAACTCAGGTTTATCAAAGCAGCTGGAACTTGAGGGGGCCAAGATCCAAAAGACAGGCCATCTCAAACTGCACAGGGGCAAGATATCCAGGAACCAAGCAAAAAGCAGAAGTCAAGAGACCTAAAACTAGTCTCAAGTTTCAACAATCTCATAGATCTGGGTGGGAAAACATTGGATTTCTGAGCCCCGGAGGCAGAATAGTGAATATTTGCTGATCCATAATACAAAGGATCACACTAAATATGATCTAAATTTTAATGCCAAAAAAGATAAAACCACATGGCTTGATATAAGTAATTAAACTTCTCCAATACTCACTTAAAAAATCCATAAAACAAGGTTAAACGCACATACTGTTTATAGAGACTATGAATGTTAAGTTAGTATGTCTACATCTTAAGTAAATATTTATTAAATATTAAATATTTAATCAACTATAGTTATTATTTTTGTCATGATTGCCCCTGTTATTCTGTAAACACTAAGTGATAGTCTGTCACCAAGACAGAGACCATATTTCTAATATCCATCTTTTTTTTTTTTTTTTTTTTGGATAGGAGTATCATTTGCTTTCATACAATGTTGAATAAAAGCAAAATACTAGTTTCTAGCCTCTCTTGGCTGAACATGAGGCAGGAGAGTTAGAAAATGACAGATGAAGCCAGTTCTTTTCAGGGGTCTGGCTGTTCATAGACGACCTGGCATCATGCAATATTCCTATTTTTCCACCTGGCATAAAGCATGTAATAGATGACTGCCCTGCTGGGTTTCAGACTTACTTGGGGCCTGTAGCCCCTTTGTTTTGGCCTATTTCTTCCTTTTGGAAGGGGAGAATTTACCCAATGCATGTACTCCCACTGTATCTAGGAACTAACCAACTTGCTTTTTATTTTACAGGTTCATAGGCATAAAGGATGTGCATTGTCTCAGATGAGACTTTGAACTTGGACTTTTGAGTTAATGCTGAAATGAGTTAAGACTTTGGGGGACTGTTGGGAAGACAGGATTGTGTTTTGAAATGTGAGATGGACATGAGATTTGGGAGGGGAAAGGGACAGAATGATATGGTTTGGATTTTTGTCTCTGCCCAAATATCATGTCTAGTTAGAGAAGGGACCTGATGGGAGGTGATTGGATCATGGGGACAGATTTCTCCCTTGCTGTTCTCATGATAGTGAGTGAGTTCTCATGAGATATGATGGTTTAAAAGTGTGTGACACTTTCCCCTTTGCTCTCTCCTGCCACCATGTGAAGAAAGTGCCTGCTTCCTCTTCACTTCCTGCCATGATTATGTTTTCTGAGGCCTCCTAGTCATGCTTCCTGCTAAGCCTGTGGAACTGTGAGTCAATTAACTTCTTTTCTTCATAAGTTACCCAGTCTCAGGTAGTTCTTTATAGCAGTGTGAGAACAGACTAATACAATAATAGTGACCAATTATTTCCATTTTTCTGACATTGAGAGGTTTCCCATGATGGAGAGTTTTTAGTTTGAAAACTGGGAATGTCCCTGAAAAACAAGAAAGAGATGGTCACTTTACTTCTAGACATGGTTGTGGACTTGGTAATTTTCCCTGGTCTGACTGGGTCTCTTCCATCAGAATATCAGCATGCCTGTCCTCACCACCTGAGAGGTGACTGGTGAAAGCTTGGGGCAGAGCAAAGTAGGGATGTTTGCAGAGCATATTAGAATTATGAAGACAGAGAAAGAACCTTAGAGGATTAACATCAAGATTTCCTGACAGGGGCTGTGTCAGCAAATTCATTCCCTTCCCTAGCTCAAGTTTCCATTTTCCTGAAACACACATAGAATTAGGTATCCAGGCCTGTGGAAATTGAGACATTATCACATTACCAGGACAAAAGTTTATCTGGCCTGATTCCTTGTGTCTGATCAATAAAGGATTTTATATTTGTTTCACCAATGAATCTATTCAGAAGAGAGAGATGTAGAATTCTCTGTAGCCACACTGGGAATTAGCAATAAGACCACAATTAGATTGCAGGGCCCTGACTCCAAAGCTTATTACTCCACATTCAAACTTTATCTTCCCACTGGCTCCTGTGCTGCTGGTGCAGATTTGAGTGATAACACATTGAGATGTCAGGAGGCTGAGGGTACATCTGCTTTCAGAACTGCCTAGGATCCTTGAGTGAAGAAGAACTTGCTGTCCAAATACCTCATGGTCTCTGAGTGTCCTTTAGTAGAGGAAAATTAGTTTTTTTCCTCTACAGATTTATTAAACCATATAAATCCTCTCCTCTCATGCTTGGGGTTGGGTTATATGAGAGCCATGGCCTCACTAAAGATGAATGTCATATTGTCCAGGAACTTGGGCACATTTTAACATAGTCTAAAATTATCTATATACCAGGTACCATGTAACTAAGAATGGAATTACAAAGAGAGCTCCAGATCTCTTTGTTCAGTAACCTATGTTCTATTTCTGGCTTCCTTGCTAACTTACTGCTGAGCCTTGGATTTAATTGCCGTCCCTAGATCTAGAACTTCCATGGGGACAATATGGTGATGATACCCACAGACCCATGATGGCCCTGCCATTGTTTTGATATATTACAACTCCATGATTCTGCTGGTTAGCAGCCTATGGCAAGCATTTTTCCTCTGGCTTGCTGATGCCTGAGATACCACTGTCAGAACTTCATCTGCTGTTCCTAATTCTGGCCCCTGTGAGCATTTATATTGCCTTGGTGGCATTGAGAAGTAAAGGCCAATATTAACTCTGTGTGGGCTCCGATGCTACTCTGTGAATGAATACCCCATTTCATTTTCTTGGCTCCTGGAAGCTCTGAAAGAATTCATGAATTCCCTGCTATTGAGAGGAAGAATGAGAATCAATTCTGTCCTCTTTGTTACAAGCAAAAAGTCCATGAATACAGGAGAAAAGAAAATAGGAGCCCCCATGGCAGAGAAGGAGGAAAAAATATCCTGGGGATTTTTCTTTTCTTTTCGAGACAAGTTCTCACATTTTTACCCAGGCGGGTGTGCAGTGGCACAATCACGGCTCACTGTACCCTTGACCTCCCAGGCTTAAGCAATCCTCCTACCTCAGCCTCCTGAGTAGCTGGAACTATGTGTGTGCATCACCATGCCTGAATATTTTTTTGTAGAGATGGGGTTTCACCTTGTTACCCAGGCTGGTCTTGAACTCCTGGGCTCAAGCAATCCACCCGCAGTGGCCTCCCAAAGTGCTGGGATTACAGGTGTGAGCCACTGTGCCTGGCTTATCCTGGGGATTCTATAAAGCTGCCTTGGGACCATGAGGGAAGTATCCAGGACCTGGGAGACTTAACTCACAGAGAAAATTAGCTTCAGGTGTCCAAGGCAGAAGGAGGAGAAAAACTTCACTTAAAGCCCGTCTGCATGCTCCTTATGCTGTCTGAGCAAGTGGTCTCACTATCTTAAGCTTCCTTTGCTTCAGATGTAGGTCAGACACAATTGACCTTAGTCTATCTCCAAGGATGCTGCAGGAATATAAGCCGACTTGAGAGAGCTATCATGGGGCAGAATCTAGTTGAGAGACCTGATTGTCACTATGAACCAAGTAGGATTAGGGTGGGGGGCAAGAGAGAAGGACCACAGAAATTGCCTTCTTCTGGTAAAACCTCCGAATCTCACCTCTCAGTGTATCTTAGAGCTCTCTAGGGCAAGATGGGGTCTTTATTAGGTGCGATTTCAGCAGTACGTAACAGATCACTTGACCATCAATGATTTCAACAAATAATACCCCTCTCCATCCATATAATAAGAACCCCAGAGTAAAGAATATGGGTTTTACGGTGATTTAAATGTCACCCCTCCAAAATTTATGTTGAAACCCAGTCTCCATTGTGGTGTTATTAAAACACCCACTCTGTATAGACTGTACTCTAAGCGTGTTGGATATATCAACTTATTTCATTCTCAACACTCGGTGAAGTAGACTATGCTTATCATTTCATAGATAAGAGAAATGAAGCACAGAGAGATTAGGTGACTAGTTGAAGATTACACAGCTGATTCTTGGTGGGACTGGGAATTAAATCCAGAAAAACTGGCTGCTCCATTGTCTGCACTGTTAATCACTCTATTCCACTACTTCAAAATAAAACCAAAGACAGCTACACATAATACAAACAGAAATATTCTGGGGCATGAGAATGTCAAAACTTTTTTTTGTGCATGTGCCCTGGGAAGGGTATTGAGTCTTCGAGGGTGACCCAGCTGACCTGGACAGGCATTGGAGTAGAGCTAAGGAGGATGGAGAATGACCTGCATGAACATAGTGACCAACTAATGAACAGAAGTGTAGACCTCTCTGTCACGAATGCAGTGATAAATGAAGAATGATTGTTCATCTTGGAAAATGCCACCATAGATGCGTGCTGATGGTGAAGGACCAGTTAACTTCCCCTCAATGCCTGGATAATATGCAAGCCCCCTATTCAAACCTAAACAAATTAATAAAAGGAAATTCCTAGGAATTAGATCACCATAAAGTACACCCTCAGGAAAAGGGAAGAGGAAGAGGAAAATAGAGTGTTTCCTCCAGAGACTGAATATTAAGCCAGAAGCAATTGAATGATTCTTGAATTGGTAAAATTAAATTACCTGCTACCAAAGAGAGATGGTCATTTCAGAGATAAGTTACAGTTAGTTGCAAAGAAACAAAGCAAGTAATATCTTTATTAGTCACAAATATTGACTGTCAGATTTGTACCTATTGCATTTGTATCTACTTAAATATTCCTTCATCTGTTTGCCTTCTGCACAGGCAGTCGGTGACTTCTCTCTGAGCTTTCTTAAGGCTTCACTCATGTCTCTGTAAGTCATCTTATCATATGGAATTACCATCTAGGTCTTCTGCAGTTACACAACTATAGTATCTTTCAGAACAGAGACACATTTCCTTCCCTTCTCTTCCCTTGCCTTCCCTTTCCTTCTTTTCTTTCATTTTATCCTTCTTTCTTTTTTTGCTTTCTGAATATTTCCTCCTACCTGGTGGTATCTGGAACATTAAGCAGGTGCTCCAGAGATATTTTATTCACTTAGATGAGAGTGTAACAGCTGATTGAGATTTTCCGTAACCTTACCTCTCTGCTCCCTGATCTCCAAGAATGATACATGCTACCTGATTTGCAGGAAAATAAATGTGCTGAAATTAGACAGCTCCTGCCTCCATCAGGATTGGGCCAGTCTTGGCTGTTGGAGGGAAATGGGTGTGGCTGTCAGAGGGAAGTGAGGGTGAAACTGTTTTCAGGGCTTTGGGGCTATAAATTTTTGCCAGCACTAATTTACAGTCTTGCTGAAAAAAATACCTCCAATAAATGATGAAGGTTAAATATTAACATTATTAAAACTCTAACCCATTAAGATATTATTAATTGGTACAGAACTCTTCAGCTAATAGTATCTGTGTGTTTTGCTTATGTACATCTTTGGAAAGTAGAAACCTAAATTTAAGTTACATCATATCCTTATGATACAGTAATAAAAGCAATTGCATGGGACTTTTTCTCACTATGATGGATCTAGTACTAGTCTAGCCTTCCCAATGTAAACAACCATAGAATTAGACAAAATTGACAAGGTAACACTTTCAGTATTGACCACCAGGCAGTGCAAGACTAACCCATAAGAAAAGAGAAATTCATGAGGTGAGTCCCACAGTGTTAAGTATGTACTCTGTATAATAATCTCTAGAGATGGAAATCTGGCCAGGGTTGTCTAGGGCAGTGAGTAGAGGTGATTGATGGCAGATGAGGAAAATCTGGGGCTAATGGAAATATACTCTATCTTAAACGGTAGTGGTTGCATCGTTTATGAATTTGTCACAAAGCACCAAACTGAATATTTATAATATGTGCCTTTGTTTACATATAAATAATGCCTTGATGATGTTGATGAAAATGATTGCGTAAGGTTTAATAGAATTTGATTTCCTGATGGTTTCTGTAAAATAAATTGTTCTAAGGGAAGGATTTGTTGAAAAGGTGAATTGTGGAAATTATTACATTTATAGACACTTAAGTGAAGCACCAAATTAAGTGAATTTAAATCCATATGATTACAGGCTAATTATTTTGAAGGATACCTGTAAACTGTAAAGCTCAGTTTAACTCTTCTTATTTCACGGGAAATTGTGTGGCTGTGTTCCTGGGACAGTAGTGGGCCCCCTGTGGACATAGAGCTATCCTCAATTACAATAACTTTATTCCATTTGATTTTGTGTGAAATTTCATGGCAGAGGAAAAACAAACAATCTACCCTGCTGCAAGGTAAGTGCTTCTCATATACATCTACACATCCCCTCCCCACACTTGGCCACCACCTCCAGCAGGACCTGGCGGCTTGGTGACTACCAGGCATGGAACCTTCTTAGGCCCCTGGAAGCTCCTGTTCAAGTCTCCCCAAACTGCCTATGTTCTCCCCTCTTTCAATGTACCCTGTTGGGAATGAGAGCTTATAACAGATTAGTACCTTGTTTCTTCCTCCTTGAAACACCCAGGGCAGTATTTGGCTCTAACCAGAATTCCTTGTAAATTTCAGCTGATGAAATGTACTAGCTGGAAGATAACTGGATTATTATAGCTGGTATCTAGGCACTGATTATCAGGATGTATTTTATCTACCTGGATTGTTTGTTGTAAATTAATCTTAAATTTATGGATTTATCAATTATAACTGTATGGGGAATATTTGTGAGTTATAAAGTCTTTTAGTTGCAAGACAAATGAGGTATAAAAGCTAAGAGATCCCCAAACTAAGTGACTGCCCTGTGCCAATGAATCCCAACACTTCCTGATGGTGCTAATTACTCTAATCCCCAAACACATCCCCATGCAGGATGAGAAGCCAGTGAACCACATCTGACAGGTTTGGGTCCTTCCTGATATTGAGTTCTTTGCTGGGATTTCATTATTATAATCTTTGTTAATCATTAGTGATGCCTCCCAGGACTCTGATTACAGTTCCATGCTTTATATAAGTGTATCTGCCTTTCCTATTCTACCTGGGTCTTTCCTGCCAAAGTCTGAGGATAAGGGGAACATATCCTCCCAGATTCCCTTCTCCTGCTGCCTCTGAGACCAAGCTATAGGTCCTTTATATTTTAAGAGTCTTAGTTCTTGAAATCCTTTTAATAGGTTATCAGGGTTTGCTTTTGGTGTATCTCCTGTATCATTCACCTATTTTTTCTCTTTTACCTTAAACCCCCACCCCCTCTACTTGTTCCTTCCTGTTAGAGTTTAAAAACAACCATTAGACTTCCATTTGTGGTTTTGATGGCGTAACTTTGAGGAGACCACCACTCCTAAGAACAACTATAAAGGCCAGATAAAATATTTCTTTAAAGCAGCTAATAAACATGGACCAACCCACCAATAACCGAACAGTACAATGAAATGAAACAGCATCAACAAAAACAAAACATTTCTGAAGCCACTGGATACTAGCCACACAGCCAGGATGTAGGGGACAGATACCAGAGAAAAGAGACGTGGATTACGCTGCGGCCACCTTTCCATATGTTATTTCCCCCGATGGCATTTGCTGATTTTGGGCTTGGGAAAGACTTTGAGGAGCCAGGGAAAGGGCAGTAGCTAAGAGCAGGAAAATCAGAAGAGCTATGGGCAATGCAGTAGAGCTGGGGAGACAAAATGAGAGCAGCCAGAACTCAGGAGCCACAATAATAGAATGAAGGGAGGTTCAGATGAGTGAGGCTGACTCAGCACAGGTTTGTTCCCTGGAACAGGTGCCTGTTACCTCCTCAGGGAAAAAGGCTAAGAGGCCAAGCAGAAAGCCACTGAAGAGTAGAGAGGAGTTTTCTGTAGTCTCATTAAGGCAAGCACCCAAAACTTGTAGTTCAAGGCTTCCAAGGAGGACCGAGCCTCAAAAGCAGTCCAGTCTTTCCATTGGGACCTGTGGAGGGCTCTTTCCTTAGCATGAGGCCAATCCAGAAGTAGAGGGAGATGCACAGCTCTGGGTCTGCTCAGGCCCTGGTGAAAGCGATGGGTCCCTCTGCTGCCTGCAGGATTTCTACAGCTTATAGGCTCCTGAGAAATACCATTTGAATGTATCCTCAGATTACTCTGCTTATCCCTTTGCCAGTTTTCTAACGGTAAACGGACACAATATCATGTTATATTAAAATTTAATTCTAACTCTTTAATATACCTAATCTCAGTCCCATCTCATAAACTCTGGTGAAGAAGAGAAAAACTGTGGGAATCTGCACATAAAATGATGGAATTGGGCTGGGTGCCGTGGCTCAAGCCTGTAATCCCAGCACTTTGGGAGGCCAAGACTGGTGGATGGCTTGAGTTCAGGAGTTCAAGACCAGGCTGGGCAATAGGGTGAAACCCTGTCTCTACAAAATCTAGCCAGGCGTGGTGGTGCATGCCTATAGTCCCAGCTACTTGGTGGGGCTGAAGGGGGAGGATCACTTGAGCCTGGGAGATTGAGGCTGCGGAGAGCCAAGATTACACCACTGCACTCCAGCCTCAGTGATAGATGGAGACCCTGTCTCAAAAAAAACAAAACAAAACAAAGCAAACAAACAAAAAACAAGATGAACACATCTATGGGTGAGGAGAGCAAAACATTAGAATTCTTCCTTCTTTGAGTCTGTGCCTTTAACTTGCTGAGTGACCTCAGTCATGTCACTTAGCCTTCAATCATCGGAGACATTATTTACTTTCCATTTTCTTTCACTGAGTTGGGGCTTAATCAGCTAAGGCCTGTAAAGACTATTTGAATAGTCTCCTTTCTGAAGCTTTCTAAAGTTCCCCCAGCAGTTTTTGTAGCGTGAATCCTTCTTCCCCCAGGTACTGCTGGTCAGAAGAATGGGATTGAGTTTGCCTGGAATGACATACCCAACTTTTAAGATGACACTTAGATATGCTTGATTTATAGCAAAGCATATCTAGGATATTTCCAGGTTGACGTCTTTTAAAAGCAGCCCAAGCCTGAACTCTTGTAAGAGTGACAGTTTGCCACGGCCCAATGCAGTGCAGGTTTAAGAAATGCATGTAGCAAACTCTATGTAGAATTTAGAATGTGTATAGCTTCCTTTCTGGACGATTCTTTGGTGTCATCTCTCTCCTTGGCTCTATGTGTGCAGACGCCCACTTCCACGTCTGGTCTCCACTAGAAATCCCTCTCCAACAACACCCTCTGGTCTAACACTTCATCTAATGTCCCTCTTATCTCTGGCTCATGCTTTCTTAGTCCTATTTCCCTGCAGAGAGGCTCAATTTAGGTTTAGATTCTCCTAAGACACCCTCTCTTTTGTGTTGATCAAAATCCAACTTCCTTCTCAGTTCTTAGCGGCGGCCTTATGCATTCACCGTGTGCTCGTGTTTCTGTCTGGTCATTTTATTTTTACAAGCTATTGTGGGTTCCTGTTCCTCTGTTCTTACCCATCGCTCAGTATTCCCAAGCATTCTGTCCTGGCCCTCTTTTCTTCTCACTCCACTTCCATTCCATTGTTTTAATTCTTTCTGTACATTGGAGATGCCATATCCATATCCCCAGCCCAGATTTTTCTTCTTTGCCTCAGGACCAAATATTTAATTGCCTGAATCCCCACTTGTAGGTTACACAGGCAATTCCAGCTCAACATACCCCAAACTAAGCTTCTCATGTCTTCCCAAGTCTGTAACCTGTTTTACATAATTCTCACTCGTGTACACTTCAGAAATCTAGTCATTCCTTTGTCTTTACTCCAGTTCAGCTCTTTCTTTTGGCTCTCCAATGAAGTTCCCATACTGCAGGGAATTTATCTTTCTAAACGAAAACCCAGTCACATTATAAACATCACCTGTGCACACCGCTGTTATGATGTGAAGCTCCAGGGTACATCTCCTGCATCTACACAATTTGATTTTCTCCTCTAAGGAAGACCCAGGAAAGTAAGACCTCGAGGAGATAAGCACATCTTTTCCCTGCATACCTATGCCTTGGTCTTCACTTTTATTTCTTTCTTGTCAAGAATCCATTATTTTCCTGGTGACTGACATAAAAAATAGCCATTTTTTTCAAGTGAAACCTTAGTTGCCTTGAGATACCTCCTCAGTAGAAACATCACAAGACAACTCTATGTCCTTTCATATAAGGGACACCAACGTGTAGTAATGAAGAACCATATATTTAGGAATATTATTCATCTGTGACATCCAAATAGGCTAGAGGCTTCTTTTGGGCATGTGCATGTGTGCCTGTGTGCGTCCGCGCGCGCACACACACACACACACACACACACACACACACACACACAGAGCACTTTATATTTATCACTTCATAGGAACACCTAATATTTTGCCTAGGAAGAAAATGATTTCCCTATTTACTCAGAAACTTAAAACCAATTCCAATCACTATTTTTGGAAGAAAGGGATGAGATAAAAGGGATCTGATTGGAAATATTCCGCCACTACCTCTTTTACTTTGCTCAATAGACCTGTCTCTCTCTTTTTTAATGTAGTGAAGTCAATAGGGATCTGCAATTGTTACTCTCAACCATTTCACTCTCTTCTTGTCTTCCCTGATACTTATATTGCCAACTGCCTACCAATCCTAGAACCATAATTTTTCCTGCAATTCTTTGGCCCAACCAGTAAAAAGCTCATCTGTTTCTTTCCTGCTGGTTAAAAATAGGAGAAATAGCCTAATTACCTGTATCTAAATGACTACTGGGTTATGGGCTGTTATAGTTCATTTCTTATGTCAATTTGACTGACTAGGAGAAACTTCAAATGACAGCCCCCATTTTGATAGGAACTATAACCTGGATCTTAGAAAAGTCTGAATTCATCTATTTGGCAAGTTGGCATCTGCAAACATCAGATGTTATCCAAACATCAGAGACAACATCCTTCTGAGTGTAATGAAAAGAGTTTTGACATATATTTTCACTTGCCAGAGATCAGTTTAGTTTCCCTTACCTGAAATTTTTTGGATAAGCCACACCAAAAACCAAATAGCTGTAACTTTCACAGTTATAGTTTACACCTTGATGTCCAGAAAATACCAGATAGCTGGGATGTCAAAAAGACACACTTTTTATTCTCCCAGGTCTGGAGATGAGGGTCATTGGCATGGGAAAGTGATGTTTACAGTTTGTGTGTTGATGTTCAATCCAATGTCAATGACTGGAGAGAGGAGAGGCTGTTTTCTTGGGAAAGAGCTATTCTTTCTTTTAGGGTTTATAAGGAATAAACATTTTGTTAATGAGGTGGAAAACTGTGCATATGGCCCTTGCAGAAGCTGAGTCATTTTCTAACTTGGAAAAACTTCGTTGATGTCATCAAGTCCCTAGTAAAAATCAATCTGCTTAGGGGAACTCCTGGGCTTTTGGAGGCCTTTCAGCCTCCAAGAATACATCCTTTTTTGTTGTATGTATGTATGTATGCATGTATTTATTTATATTTTACTTTAAGTTCTGGGATACATGTTCAGAACGTGCAGGTTTGTTACCTAGGTCTATGTGTGCCATGGTGGTTTGTTGCACCTATTGACCCATTCTCTAAGTTCCCTCCCCTCGCCCCCCACCCCGCAACAGGCCCTAGTGTGTGTTGTTCCCCTCCCTGGGTCCACGTGTTCTCATTGTTCAACTCCCACTTATGAGTAAGAACATGCAGTGTTTTGTTTTCTGTTCCTGTCATAGTTTGCTGAGGTTGATGGCTTCCAGCTTCATCCACGTCCCTGCAAAGGACATGATCTCATTCCTTTTTATGGCTGAACACTTTCAAATTAGCACTCATTTTCTGGGGGATATTATTGTCATTCAAACAATCTAAATTTCTGGGAAGGTGACACTTAGACTCCTGCAAAGTCAGGGTCTTTATGTGAAAGAACAGATATTTACTGAGGTGAAAGGAAGGAGAGACTGAAGCATAAAAGAAAGAAGGAAAGAAAAAGGAATAAAAAATTTCTTATTGTCTAATATTTTAAGAACTTCGCAGGCTCATTTGAGTATTTTAAACGGTAACTTAATCCTCTCAATAATCTTTTGAGAAAGTATTGCTACCTTCTTTTAAAAAACAAAACTCGGCCAGGCGCGGTGGCTCATGCTTGCAATCCCAGCAGTTTGGGAGGCTGAGGCAGGCAGATCACGAGGTAAGGGATTCGAGACCAGTCTGGCCAACATGGTGAAACCCCGTCTCTACTAAAAATACAAAAATTAGCTGGGCATAGTGGCAGGCGCCTGTAATCCCAGCTACTCAGGAGGCTGAGGCAGGAGAATTGTTTGAACCTGGGGGCGCGGAGATTGCAGTGAGCCAAGATTGTGCCACTGCATTCTAGCCTGGGTGACAGAGTGAGTCTCCGTCTCAAAAAACAAACAAACAAACAAACAAAAAAAGAAAAGAAAAGAAAAGAAAAAACCCAAACTCATGCCACTCAGAGAGGTAAACTAACTCTTCAAATGGTAGAGAACGAATACATTGCGGGGTCCATTAAGAGCCCATGTTCTTGCCCTGCTCTTGGCTATCTCACGAAGGAAAGCTCTCTACCCTATTTCTCACCACAACACTCCTGATCAACACATCAGACCCAGGAGACAGTGAGGTAACAGATGTTGCAGCCTGAGCTGAGTATAAAACCTAATTACTTGAGTCTGTATTTTTCTCCTGCTCATTTTGACTGGAACTCACCAGGAATGACATTTCCTATTTTCTTCCAGACACACTTTCATGAAATATTTTTTGAAACATGACCGTAGAAGAAAATGGATGATGTGAGATTGTGAGAATGTGTTCAACATTACAGTTTGTCTTTGTTGAAATAAGGTGTGCCACTGTCTGCCTCAACTGTAGACTTCTAAGCCATCTCCTTTTTCTTCTCTAATAAACCGGGCGAAGTCTGGATCATGAGCTGACCACCCTTTCACCTCCATTATTAGAGGACATTTTGCTACTTCCTCAATATTCTCAACGCATGGCTTTTCTCTGAAAGTTCTGCATGCTCGCCAAGAAATATATAACATCAGCTCGGTTCCATGGCTCCTGCCTGTAATTCCAGCTCTTCGGGATGCTGAGACTGGTGAATCACTTGAGCTCAGGAGTTTGAGACCAGCCTGGGCAACAGGACAAAGCCCCATCTCTATTAAAAATACAAAAATTAGCCCAGTGTGGTGGTGCACATCTGTGGTCCCAGCTACTCTGGAGGATCACTGGAGCCCGGGAGGTTGAGTTTACAGTGAGCCTTGATTGAGTCACTGCACTTCAGCCTGAGTGACAGAGTGAGACATTGTCTCAAAAATAAAAAGGAAAAGAAAATTTATAACGTAAGTGAATTAAACATTTCCTGTTTTCTTTTTAATAAGGTCACTCCTTTAATGAGGATACTCTGCGAAACCTCTGCCCAAGGAATTTCCCTTTAATTTTTACAAAGAATCAACATTATATAATGAGATTTTCCTAATGGCAAAGGACATATTCAATATATGCTGAATAATAGCATTGACAGTTCACTACAGTCAGTATCTGCTCTCACCTTCCCACAGCGCTGCTCTCCTTCAGGTCACCATGATCTTTATGTTGTTAAACTCAATATACAGTTTTCAGTCCTCTTCTTGATTAAGTGCTCTCATGGCAGAACTTCTTCCTAGATTTTCTCCTGTGTGCTCCAGTCTCCTTCAGTGGCCTCCTCACTGCTGCCCCCAGGTTCTTATGAGTTGATGATCTTCAGAGTTTTCCCCTTGAGACCTTCCTATTTTTCGTAAATATTCTCATCTAGACCCCAGGGTTTACTTGTCAGGTATGTGCTGATAATTTTCAAATTGATTTTTAGACACAGGGTAAATATCTACACTTAGCATGCTCACTTAAACTTCAAAACCACTGTGCCGTGTTTTCTCTATCTCAGGAAGTGCCACTGCAACCCACACTGTTCCCTTTTACCTAAGCTAGGAAACTAGGCATCCTGCTTGCCTCTTCCTTCTCTCTTATTCTCTTCACTTAGAGGCTCTGTTGATTCTTTCTCCTAAATAGGTTTAAAGCCTAGCCTCCTTAAGTCTCGGTGTCTACTGTATCTATTACTTAAATGCCATTTGTTATGGGTCTGTCTCCATCTCTCCATCTATCAATATGTTCTTCATTTGACCATCCTGGAGGATTACTTTACACGCAAAGAAGCACTGTAACTCTCCTGTCAAACAATGAATCGGTCTTCATCACCAGTAGAATAAAGGCTAACAGCATAGTTCAGTAGAATGAAGAGTAAAGTAGAATAAAGTGAAATAAAGTCTACACGTGACAAAATCCTTTATTACTTCCTACTCTACCTTCCCACTCCCCTGCTCCTCCACCCTCTGCTTTTCACTTTATGCTCCCCAAACTCACTGCTTATTATTATACACACTCTGTAGACCCAGGTCATTTCTTGCTCTCTCCTCCTTTTTCTTGTATTATTCCATCTCAGCACCTCCTTTGTCTTTCCACCTAAAAACAAACAAATAAACGAAACAAACCCAGCATTTTTTCTTGCCAACTCCTTCTTATTTTTCAAAATTCAGTTCAGGGGATTTTTTTTCTGATATGGTTTCCATGAGCCTCTTTACTTTCCAGAACAGGCTGGATGCTCACTTGTCTGTTCTTGCAACACATGAGAATTCCATATTTTCATAGATCATGTTGAGCTGTATTATCTCTCTCTAATAGTCAAATATCTTGTAAAGCATGGCAATATTTTCTTTGTTGTTGATTTTCCTAATACTTAACAAAGTGCCTATCAAAGAACAGGCACTCAATAATATTAAGTTAAATAATACACCTTAAATAAACAAATTGATCTGTTTCATACTAAAAGAGATGAAAGAGAGAGATTTGAGGGAAAAATCCTATCAATAAATTCTCAGTGATAACATAATTCATTTTGTGACCCGGAGATTAGACAATGTCTTGGTCCTCATCTTTTTAAAAAATTTCTTCTCTGTAGTCAGGAGGGATGGATAATAAACTTGTTTGTGACATTGACAAAGCATTTGAAAGATAGATTGTGCAGATTCCTACAATGGGTACCATAAAGACTAGGTTGAAGTACTTAAAAGTCTAAAACTATCTGTACAAGCTTCAGAAGCAAGAACAGGAGCTTTTGCTCAATCAAAAAGTAGTTTATTGAAAAGAGAAGAGGAAGAAGGGAGGTTTCCCCAAAGATCACCATAGTTGGCTCATTTGTCGCATGGTAGGTAGGGGAGCCTTTCTTGCTCCTGGCTCATTGACTACCTGAAGTAATCAACCTTTCACCCTCTCAGGACTACTGGTGAAGCCTTACCACTGCTAATACTTTTGCAGATTGAAGTGTTGTGCCATAATACTAGCCAATTCCAGCCTCACCATTGTCGTTCTGTTTTTTTTGTTGTTGTTGTTTGTTTGTTTTTGACACAGAATTTCGCTCTCATTGCCCAAGCTGGAGTGCAATGGCGCCACCTCGGCTCACTGCAACCTCTGCCTCCCAGGTTCAAGTGATTCTCCTTCCTCAGGATCCTGAGTAGCTGGGACTACTGGCGCCCACCACAATGCCTGGCTAATTTTTTGTATTTTTAGTAGAGATGGAGTTTCACCATGTCAGCCAGACTGGTCTCAAACTCCTGACCTCAAGTGATCCACCGGCCTCAGCCTCCCAAACTGCTGGGATTACAGGCATAAGCCACTGCACCTGGGCACCACTGTGGTCCTTAAAACTAATCTATGCCACATATTTGGCTTTCTGATCCATTTATAGTCTGAAAATGGTATATCTTTTTTATTTTTATTTTTTTTTTTGAGACAGTGTCTTGCTGTATCACCCAGGCTGACCTGCAGTGGCCCGATCATAGCTCATGGCAGCCTCGACCCACCTGGGACTACAGATGTGTCCCCAAGCCTAGCTAATTTTAAATTTTTGTGTAGAGACAGAGGTCTCACTATGTTGCCCAGGCTTGTCTTGAACTCCTGGCCTTAAGTGATCCTTCTGCCTTAGCCTTCCAAAGTGCTAGGATTACAGGCATGAGCCACACAGCACCTAGCCCATCTTTTATCTCAAAACCCACTCAAAAATCTGTCTAGTTATTTCATGAAACTTCCATACTTCTTACCATCCACTGTATGGTAATATACCTGGTCTTATCGAGTGTTGGAAAGGCTTCCCCAAAACTTGACTCAAAAAGGTTTCTGAAACTATCTATCTCAACTTCACCTGGTCTACACACCTTAGTAAGGCAGTCTGGCCACTACGTATGGCTATCCCAAGAAAGGGGTCATCTCCTATAGCCTGCTTCCTGGGGCATGGTCAAGATGAAAGAGGTGGGAAGTTACACAGGTCTCTTTTAAAAATTCAGAATTCCATCTTGACGATTCTTGAGCATGTTGCAACTTTCTTTCCCTGAACAGAGCCCTAGACCGCTTGACTGATACACTCTGAATTACAGTCCAGTCAAAAGGGGAGATAGGACATTCAACCTTAATTATGGTTAAGTTTTATAAAAATGTCATGTTCCTCTTACTCCTGATCCTTCCAGAAAAAAAGTCTGAGTGCAAGTAAGGAATAAGAAGAATAAAAAGGTACAGCTATAGCTACTGGAATGGTATACATCAATATTGTGGAAGTGAAGAAAAAGCAACTATCCTAATTCCTGAGGAGGGAATACCTTAGACCAAGGGATATATGAGGAAGAGTGGGATGTTAATAATCCTTGTCTCTTTCAGAAACACTGCTTAAAACTTTCTTTTGGTGTGTTGATATCCCAAATTGTTGCAAGTGTCTTGAATTTCGCTGACTGTTAGGTCTAGTGCCCCCTTACCAGGTATGGTCTGATAAGTCTAGCAAAAACAGCAAGGCATGCCCCCAACTTCTGTACTCTCACTGAAAAATACTGTCAATATTTCTAGTTACCCTCCCTGTCCAATGATCAGTTATTCCATGGAGAGGACAAACGCTGGTGGCATGAACAAATAGAACAGGTTGGGCTAACTCTCTTCAGGCAATGCCTCAGAAAGAAAAAAATTAACTAAGAATCCTAAAAGCGACCCACTGAAATGCTATGTTAGAGGCATCAACCTGTGCTCCTGACCAATAAAAATCCCACTCGGCGGGTCACAACAATTTTAAATAACACTTTTTTTCTTCAACTTTTATTTTAAGTTCAGGGGTACATGTGCAGGATGTGCAGGTTTGTTACAGAGGTAAATGTGTGCCACAGTGGTTTGCTGCACAGATCATCCCATCACCTAGGTATAATATTAAGCCCAGCATCCATTAGCTGTTCTTGTGGTGCTCCCCCTCCCACCACCTGCCCAACACCCACATGGACCTGTAGGGAGAAACAGTAACATTTTATTTTCTATGGGCACCGTGTCTACCCTTGAGATTGTACTTGCATAAAAGCCAGAAAATATCTTGCCTCCATCCTAAAGACACAGTAATTTCCCCTTATAGGGGTGGTCATAAGTGACCTGAAATTGTTTAACAAAATGATTTCTACCAGTAAATCATTTAAACCTCAGATGACTTCAGAGATCTCTGCAAAATGAGGGTTCCTTTGGCTACTTGAAGAAGCTTTCTGGAAGAATAACTGGCTCATTGTTTTAGTAGATCCTACAAAAAAAAATAAGTAGGTTTTTCTATAATGAGCATCATCCATTTAAAAAGTCGGTATGAAGTTTTTTCTTAACTTTAGGTAAAGTGATCAACGACACCAAATATGAAATGGAAAGGCATTCAGGGCAATGCCAATTCATTAGTCAAGGTTGTTATGGATGATGGGATTGCCTTAGGCTTCCACCTTTCAGACCAAAGCAGAATCTGTGTCATCACTAATCATAGATTACTAGCTAAGGCCAAGTAGAAATGTCAATACAACAACTTAAGGAGAAAGCAAGCTGATTTTTAAAGATAGATGCTGATGTTTTATGGAATTTGTTTAGGTGGTTGAGTTCTGGATCGTGGGGATAGGGAGGGAGGAGACACGGTTGAGGTTAATACTCCAGATTGACCTCATCTTGCTAATTGGAGTCCTATTCATAGTAATCTTAATTAAATACTGTATGAGACAAATTGAATGGAGTTGAACTCACTCATCAGTTAGATTAATCAAAGTAGCTGAAGTAGTGATGAACTCATGGGGGAAATTAAGTAGACATCAAGATGGTACAGAAATGAAGGAAGAGTAGATCTTGTTGACAGGCAATTCTCTATGGGTCTCTTGCATTTCTACTTATCTTGTAAGCAATGATACTAACACCTTTGTTTTGAACCACCTTTTCAAGGCTCTTCCTATATTAACAATGTCTCCTTCCAGGACAAAGGTCAGGCAGGTTTGTTTAGAGACCACTATGAAAAATTTGAGCTTCCAAAGCTCAGAGTTTCTTTCCTGTGATGCAACCGCCACATATGCAGGAATCACCTGACGCTTTTCATATCACCCTGTGGTAATTGAGACTTAAGAACTGGTCAAGAAAATCATGACACTCTGGCTATACTGTCGTTGCTGTGAGTATCACGCCATCCATTGTATTAGACCCAAGAGTCTCATATCTTTCACAGTATCTGTAAAACTGTAATAGGATAACATCTTGATTTGTAAGTAGGGAAATATTTGAGACCCTCAGCAGTTCTTAACAGTTTATAAAATTTCATACCATTCATAGTTTCTGATAAAAATGTTTTTAAGGAACGCTTGTTTGAAGGCTTTGGAATGCTACTAAGATTGTGAAAAATTTCAGGCCCAAGATCTAAGAAAGAAAGGAGACCCTGGAGAAGTGAAACCAGTATTTTAGCACTTTTCCCTTTGGGATGGTTTCTGATCCATTTGCCTTAGTTCAATGCCTTAAGGAAAAACAGAATAAAATTAATTTATCTTCAATGTAGTGGTACGTGTAAGTGTTTTAACATATCCTCCATGAATGTCCTCCGGCGTCTCTTTTTTGATTTCTCATTCTCTTCCTTCAGTGTTCTTCATAGGAAATAATCTGGAGTCCATTCTCTCTATCCTGCTTTGTCCTTCCTGAAGTAAGTTCCAGTTTGTCAATATCTTATGCAGAATGTGGCATTCAGAAATAAGGACAATTCTTCTAGTGAAATAACTGATGCTTATGTAAGTATAACAATGTGTTACTGGTGAAATGAATCAACATAGTAAATTCTGCTATAAACATACAACAAAATATCAAGCAACAATAAAAATGGTATTATCAAAGAATCTCTGCCTCTCTTTTTCTCTCTACTGGGTTGTATAGTGCTCCCCTTCCCCCACAACCCCCCTGCCCCCCAATCCATGTTTACTTGGAACTCCAGAATGTGATTTTATTTGGAAATAGGGTCTTTGTAGATATCATTAGTTAAGATCAGGTCATACTGGATTAGGGTGGGCCCTAAATACAATGGCTGGTATCCCTTTAAGAAGGCCATGTAAAGATACATAACCACAGGGAGAATGCCACATGATGACAGAGACAGAGACAGAAGTGATGTGTCTATAAGCTAAGGAGTGCCAAAGATTTCTGGCAACCATCAGAAGCTAGTGAGAGACAAGGAAGGATTCTGCCAACATTTCATTTTGAACTTCTGGCCTCTAGAATGGTGAGAGAATACATGTTGTTGTTTTAAGCCACCCAGTTAATGGTAATTTGTTGTGGCAGGTCTGGGAATCAAATGCATCTATCTATATTAAATTTGTATTGCTGCTTTAAAAATTATCAGAGACTACTGGCTCAAGATAACATAAATTTATTACATGACAGTTCTAGAAGTCAGAAGTCCAAATACATTGGGAAGACTGCCTGCCTGTCAGAGCCTCTAGAGGAGAATCTGTCCCTTGCCTTTCCCAGCTTCTAGTGGCTTCCCTCATTCCTTAATTCATGACCCCGTTAGCATCAGTCTAAACTCTGCTTCTGTCTTCGCATCCCCTTCTCTGATTTTGACCCTTCTGCCTGCCTCTTATAAGGACCTTTGTGATTAGATGGGGCCTACCCAATGCAATCCAGGATTTTCTTTTCCTTCCTTCCTTCCTCCCTTCCTCCCTCCTCCCCTCCCTTTATTCCTTTTTGACTGAGTCTCGCCCTGTCCCGCAGGCTGGAGTGCAGTTGTGTCATCTTGGCTCACTGCAATCTCCACCTCCTAGGTTCAAGAGATTCTCATGCCTCGGCCTCCTGAGTAGCTGGGATTACAAGCATGTGTCACCAAGCCCAGCTAATTCTTATATTTTCAGTAGAGACAGGGTTTCACCATGTTAGCCAGGCTGGTCTCGAACTCCTGACCTCAAGTGATCCACTCACCTTGGCCTCCCAAAGTGTTAGGATTACAAGGGTAAGCCACCATGCCCAGCCCAGGATTATTTCCAAGTCAGGCTCTCACTCCCATCTGCCATACCTCTTTGACCATGTAAGGTAACATATGCACAGTTTCTGGGGATGAAACAGGAAAATCTTTTCAAAGTCATACCTATCTATCTATCTGTCTATCATCTATCATGTATCTATCCATCTACATATCTATCATCTGTCTATGTATACATATATCTCTATCTATCTAGCTATTTGTACACATGCATATGAGAATGAGAATGATAGTAGGAAGGCAACATCCCTAAATGTCAAAGTGATTATTCCTGTATAAGTTGTTTTTATTTATGTTTTTAGTAAATACATAAAATATATGTTGTGCCATTTTACATGCCATACATGAAATAATGTTGCATCAGCATCTTGAATACTAATTAAAATGTTGATCTGAATGCCACAGAGAGTAATCCATATACTTGTTGACCTACAATTACACTTGCATAAGTTTAAGGTCCAGTCAGGGGCCTAGACTTTGGAAATGATGCTTAGGCCATGGATTGGGAGACATGCTTTCCAGTCAGAAAGTTCAGCATCTCCCTTTGATTCAGTTTCATTGGATAAATTTGTTGTTTTACTGGACAGCTGATTTGTCTTTTGCTCATTTCACCAGGGCATTGATATCTGCTTGGTGTTAGACATTCTTCTTTCAGACACAGGGCAGACAGACATGACTAACAGGTTATTCCCTCACTCTAGGAGCACATGGTCTAGAGGGGAGACAGATGGAGAGCCAAGATTATAGCATAATATAGTAAATGTTGCAATAGATCTAGCAGTATGAAAGCATCAGTGTTCACGTGTCAGGGCACTGACGGAGATTTAGTGATGAATGAGTGATGTTAGGTTTATTTTAAGTGAAAAGAAAACTAAAAAGTCTCAAAGACATGAACACATTTCTACAGCCATAATGATGACTCCTAGAACTGCCAAAGCTTTAAGAGAGCCCAAATGCCACAATTCACTGGTTAGACACACACGTAAAGGGTAAGCCATTGCCTGGGCTATTTTCTCAAAACTGGGACTTGCCCGAGGGCTCCTCCTCCTAGACCTTCTCCCTAACCTTCCTGTGGTTAGTGATTGAGAAGCATTTCTTTCCCAAGGTGTCTGCAGGGGAAGAACAAATTGGCAAATGGCCAAGTATCATACCTGTTTGGTTATGCCTCATGTGGACCTGGCTCTCAGAGGAGCTGTTAATGGAGCAAGTACTGATGCCTGGGATTGCAAATCCTCCTCTACTTCACGGGGCATCTTTCCACCCCTGGGGCTTCCTCTCCACCTGCTGAAAGCATGTGAAGTTCCCTGGTGCAGGTGCAGCTCGGCATGTTGAAGGAAGTGATCCATGTATCCTAAATCTTTGAATGTATGTCGAGTCAATTGAAGATTCAGGAAAATACATGCTACTCATTTGCCTCTGTTGTGCAGCATAGTAGTTAATCAGGAACTAGACTGCCTGCGTTCAAATCCTAATTTGGGCATGTTTATTAGTCTCTTTATGCTTTGGTTCAAGTATAAACTAGCAATAGGATTGCTATGAAGATTAGATCATTCAATGCATGTTAAGTGATTAGCAGAATGGCAGAAAAAAAAAACCCAATACAGACAATCTCTAAACTTTCTAATATTCAATCCTTTATTAATTAAATCAGGGCTGAATGATTTTTTTTTCCTGGATGGCTGTGTTGCTGACCATGAAGGTGGCAGACATTTTTAGTTAGCCCCGGGGTGGGGTGGGATGTCACAGACAACCAATTTCACATTGTGGGGGAGCCAATCAGCAACATAGCTGCTGTGCTCTTTTTGGATGTTAAACATTTGCTTGTCCATCTCTTTCATGGACATGTGGACCCTGAAAATGGCAGCCATCATTAGGTAGCAACCATGGTGGAGGTTGCAAGAAGCCATCATGTTCTTGGCAATGAAACATCTGCTCGGTGAGCTCAGCCACCATCAGGCCCAGTAATGGTGGCTACCCTGGCTGGTCAGCAGGGTAAAGCCAGGCATGAAGAAGTACAGGCAGGGAAATGAGACCATGTTCTCAGCCAGTTTCTGTAGGTCAGCATTTAGCTGGCTGGGGAAGCACAGGCAGGGAGTGACCCCACTCCTGGTGGGAGAAACCAGGTGGTTCAGGTCACCATAGGTGGATGTGGGCAGCTTTAGAGTTCTCAAGCAGATGTCATAGAGAGCTTCATTATCAATGCAAAATGTCTGTGTTTTGTCTATGTTTTTTTTATGAGGTGGTGGACTGAGAGGGTGGCAGGCCGGGTTTTCAGTAGCAGCCAGTTTCCACTCATCTTTTACTATAATTCTGACGAATGCACACGTTCAGCATTAAAGAACTGGAGAAACTGGCCCCTGAGTACAAAGATTGCAATGCAAAAACAAACCCATTAAGATCCCACCTGAATTTTCTTAGCTCCTAAAGTCTGATAAAATAATAAAAGCATTCTTACATATACACCTCATACCAGGGCCCACTTAAGATTAATAAAGTTTCCAAGGCTCTAGAGAAACCTTTTTAGAGCCTAAAGATTAGATGTAGATTGAATGAAACACTTCTGTTTGTAGGTACACTCCTACACATAGGCATGGAGCTTAAAATGTACATAAGCACTGGAGAAAAACTTGTAACTTTGAGTTGTTCTGGTGAGTTACTTTGACCTTCTCCCTGTAACTGGTTGCACAAATAAACTCCCTTCTTTTCCAGTCTGTCTACATCTTGTTATTGCACGGCAAGAACAAGCAGTTGGACCTCATTCATCAGGGACCACCACCACTGTGTTCGACACCTTGGGCTAGGGAAGAATGCTGAATGTGTTCATGATTTGTCTGGGTACTCCTCCCAGATCTTGCTGATGAGAAGGGTATCCATCCCAGATCCAGTCCCCCCACCCAGGGAGTGGGTCAGCTGGAAACCCTGAAGGCACTCACAGCTCTTAGCCTCCTTCCTCGCAACATCCATCACTGACTCCACCAGCTCTGAGCCTTCTGTAATAGTAGTGGGCCACTAGTGTGCCTTGGCCCGGTTGTTCGCTGCACCACTCTGACCGAAGATGAAGTTGTCCGGCCTGAAGATTCGCCCGAAGGGCACAGAGTCCATGATGCCGGGCTCCAGATCCAAGAGCACAGCGCGGGCACCGCTGGGTCCCAGAGGTCAGTGTACCAAGGGGGTCCCTCCCTGGAAGGGCACGGCAGCCCAGCCCTCCCCACCCCTCCGGGCCAGGCCGCTGGGTCCCTGGGAGAATTGTCTCCTTGCTGCAAGCTGCCCAGCTCTGCCATGTCGCCGGCGGGGAGCCCGGGGGCCACAATGCAGGGCCACCACCGCAGCCACTGCCAAAGCGGAGGTGGTGGAGGCAGCCGCGGCGACTTTGGCGTCAGGAGAAAGGCCGGAGGGAGGAGTCCTTACTATGAGTAAGAAAGAGGTAGTGCTTGGCACTTAATGAGAAAAAGGTGTCCAAGGCTAGAGTTCAAGTTTTTCACAAGTACATAGCTAGGTAGGAAATAGACACTACCCTAGAGACAATGAAGGAGTCAAGTTAGGCGTCTTATAATAGAAGAAATTGAATCAGAGGGGCAAGGTGACTTTGCCATGACATTAACATCCCTTCCAATGCTTAGCTTCTCTTTGTCTCCAGGATTGTATTCAAAGAGTGATATCACAGACAACAGAACCACAAGGACTTCAGAGAATGGAGAGGTCAGTTGTGTTGGTGGGAAGTGCAGTTGAGAGTTCCAAGAATCATTTAGGCAACAAGTTCCATGGCTCTGAAGCACTACTGACATATTTCAATTTTGTGAAGTATGTTGTTCTAGGCTTTCCAGAAAAAAAATGTATAAATAAATATATTCCATATGTTTATATAAAGAGAGATAGAGAGGGAGAGAAGAGATCTGCTATATGCATTCCATTTTCCTTTTCTTTTTTCATTTTGTTGCTTCTTTTGATGTTGTTATTGCTATGCACATGTGTATGAGTGTGTGTGTATGTCTGTGCACTTTTGCTTTTCCTGTAGAAAATTTCAAAAGTCCATAATATAATCTTAGGCTATGTTGTAGGTAACACAATAATCATAAATAATATACATAAATCTGTATTTTTGAGGTATCTACTTTTATCAATATGTTGAAGTTTTTCTTTGAAAATGAGGAAGTGAATATAATTACATTTCCTCTTAATTTTCTAAATGAAAACATTAATTTCCCACTTTCTGATATTTATATTTCTAATATTGTTAGAGTTTATAATGTTTTTGCTTTTTTTTTGGTACCCACAATTCTCATATTGTTCTTAGCCTTGGTTCTCTATTTAAATAGACTCAATGTAAGTTAGTAGTTTATTCATACAATTGACACCAAATTTCTGAGTTCTTTTGTTTGATTAATCCTTGAAGGTCAATGGCTATTTCTTGGCTTTATAGTTCTGTATCAGTTTTCTGAAAACACAGTGTATTTTTTTGAACTTCACATGCAAGTTTTTTATATCTTGAAAAAGTATTTTTTCATTATATATTTGAATGTATGTTCTCATTTATTCCATTCTGTTTTTAAGAAACCAATCATGTGAAAGTTGGATGTCCTTTGTCTTTTTGACATAAATATCATTTTCTCTGTAATAATTTTAATCTCTTTGTAATTTTTCCACTATTTTTGCATGATTTTTTCCTCAAGCTAATGTTTTTTTATTTTAAGCTATATCTGTTCTAATATTGGTACTTTTGAGTCTTTTTTATTATCTTCCTTTTTTTCCTGAGGTATGGAATAAAGTTTTATCACTTTCTATGATCTTGAAATTTTTTTATTAAATCTGTTTTTTTTTCTTTTACCTTGGGTAAATACCTAAGAATGAGATTTCTGGGATATAGTGCACAGGAATGTTCAACTTTCTAGATAATGCCAAAACATTTTTTTCAAAGTGATTGTGCAAAATTGTACCTTTCAGAGAAATGTATAAGAGATCAAATAAATTCATATCCTCTCTAACATTTGGATTATATGACTATTTTTTTTTTCAAATTTTGTTTTTTTTCAACTTTTATTTAGACACAGTGGGTACATGGGCAAATTTGTTACCTGCAATACTGCATGATGCTGAGGTTTGGAGTATGGACCCTGTCACCCAGGTAGCGAGCATAGAACCTGAAAGATAGTTTTTTTAAAATCTATTTCTCCCCTAGTAGACTCCTCTAGTAGTCCACAGCATCTATCATATTTATGTGCATGTGTGCTCAATGTTTAGCTCCCACTTATAAATGATACAATGTTTAGTTTTCTTTTCCTGCATTAATTCACTTAGGATAGTGGCCTGCATCTCAATCCATGTTGCTACAAAAGACATTATTCTGTTCTTTCTTATAGCTGTGTAGTAGTCCATGGTGTATATGTACCACATTTCCTTTATCCATTCTACCATTGATGGGTGACTGGGTTGATTCTGTGTCTTTGCTATTGTGAATAGTGCAATGATGGACATACAAGTGCATGTGTCCTTTTGGCAAAATAATTTATTTTTTTTTTGGGTATGTGCCCAGTAACAGGATTGCTGGGCCAAATGGTAGTTCTGCTTTAAGTTATTTGAGAAATCTCTAAACTGCTTTCCACAGGGACTGAACTAATTTAAATTCCCATGAGCAATGTATAAATGTTCCATTTTCTCTACAATCTCACCAGTATCTATTATGTTTTGACTTTTCAATGACAGCCATCCTGACTGGTGTAAGATAGTATCTTGATTTGTATTTCTCTGAGGATTAGTGATGATGAGCATTTTTTCATATGTTTGTTGGCCGCTTGTTTGTCTTCTTTTGAGAAATGTCTGTTCATATTCTTTGCCAATTTTAAAATGTAGTTATTTCTTTCCACTTGTTGATTTAAGTTCCCTATGGATTCTGGATATTAGGCCTTTGTCAGATGCATAGTTTGCGAATATCTTCTACCATTCTGTAGGTTGTCTGTTTGCTTTGTTGATTGTTTATTTTGATGTGCAGAAGCTCTTTAATTAGGTCTTTCTTGTCAATTTTTGTTTTTGTTGCAATTGCTTTTGGGGACTTAGCCAAAAATTCTTTGCCAAGGCCAGTATCAAGAAGAGTATTTCTTAGGTTGTGTTCCAGGATTTTTATAATTTGAGGTCTTATATTTAAATATTTAACCCATTTTGTGTTGATTTTTGTATATTGTGAAAGGTAGGGGTTCAGCGTCACTCTTCTGCATATGGCTAGCCAGTTATTCCAGAACCATTTATTGAATAGTGAGTCCTTTCCCCATAGCTTGTTTTTGTCAGCCTTGTCGAAGATCCGATGGTTTTAAGTGTGCAGCTTTGTTTCTGAGTTTCCTAATCTGTTTCATTGGTTTACGTGTCCTCTTTTGTACCAGTCCCAAGCTTTTTTGGTTACTGTGGATTTATAGCATACTTTGAAGCCAGGTAGTGTGATGTCTCTGGCTTTGTTATTTTTGCTTAGGATTACTTTGGCTATTTGGGCTCCTTTTTGGTTCCATGTGATTTTTAGAGTGGTTTTCTCTAATTGAATAACACTTATGTTTTCTATTTAAAGCTTTGTTTGACGTTAAGTCTTTAATCCATCTGATACGGTCTGGCTCTGTGTCCCCACCCAAATCTCATTTTGAATTGTAATCTGAATTGTAATCCCCGTATGTTGAGGGAGGGACCTTATGGTAGGTAATTAGATCATGGGGGCAGTTCCCCCATGTTGTTCTTGTGATAGTGAGGGAGTTCTCATGAGATCTGATGATTTTATAAGGGACATTCCTCCCTTCACTCTGCACTTCTCTCTCCTGCCACCATGTGAAGAAGGAGGTGTTTGCTTCCCCTTCTGCCATGATTGTAAGATTCCTGAGGCCTCTGCAGCCATGCAGAACTGTGAGTCAATTAAACCTCTTTCCTTTATAAATTACCCAGTCTCAGGTATTTCCTTATAGCAATGAGAGAATGAACTAATACACCATCTGACATGGATTTTTGTATGTGGCATGAGGTAGTCTATTGTTCCTGTATTTGCATCAACTTTTTTTAATCGGCTCCATCTCCATTTAAAACAATTTTTTAAATTATACTTTAAGTTCTGGGATACATGTGCAGAACGTGCAGGTTTGTTACATAGGTATACACGCACCATGGTGGTTTGCCGCACCCATCAACCAGTCATCTACATTTCTCCTAATGCTATCCCTCCCCTAGCTCTCTACTTCCTCATAGGCCCTGGTGTGTGATGCTCCCCTCCCTGTGTCCATGTGTTCTCATTGTTCAACTCTCACTTATGAGTGAGAACATGTGGTATTTGGTTTTCTGTTCTTGTGTTAGTTTACTGAGAATGATGGTTTCCAGCTTCATCTATGTCCCTGCAAAGGACATGAACTCATCAATTTTGATGGCTGCATACTATTCCATGGTGTATATGTGCCACATTTTCTTTAACCAGTCTATGAACAGTGCCACAATAAACATACATGTGCATGTGTCTTTATAGTAGAATGATTTATAACCCTTTGGGAGTATGCCCAGTAACGGGATTGCTGGGTCAAATGGTATTTCTGGTTCTAGATCCTTGAGGAATCACCACACTATCTTCCACAATGGTTGAACTAATTTACACTCCCACCAACAGACTTGGTGTTCCTATTTCTCTACATCCTTGGCAGCATCTGTTGTTCCCTGACTTTTTAATGATCGCCATTCTCACTGGCATGAGATGGTATCTCATTGTGGTTTTGATTTGCATTTCTCTAATGACCAGTGATGATGAGCTTTTTTTGCATATGTTTGTTGGCCACATAAATGTCTTTTTTTGAGAAGTGTCTGTTCATATCCTTTACCCACTTTTTGGTGGTTTTTTTTTTTGTTTGTTTTTTTCTTGTAAATTTGTTTAAGTTCTTTGTAGATTCTGGATATTAGCCTTTTGTCAGACTGATAGACTGCAAAAACTTTCTCCCATTCTGTAAGTTGCCTGTTCACTCTGATGACAGTTTCTTTTGCTGTGCAGAAGCTCTTTAGTTTAATTAGATCCCATTTGTCAATTTTGGCTTTTGTTGCCATTGCTTTTGGTGTTTTAGTCATGAAATCTTTGCCCAGGCCTATGTCCTGAATGGTATTACCTAGGGTTTCTTCTAGGGTTTTTACGGTTTCAGGTCTTAGGTTTAAGTCTTTAATCCATCTTGAGTTAATCATTTGGATTTTGTTATATAAGGTATCCAAGTTAATAAGATAATCCTAATTTGTATTGTTCATTTAAGTAAATCGAGGTGCTGTGATATTAAGTTAGTGTTAGGATAGCATTTAGAAATCAAATTGTTGCATGTCTTGCATTCATTTACTCACCTATTCATTTGTCAAATATATATTTTTTCACCTCTTATATATATGCAAGTATCTGTGTTACATGCCAGGAGAATGCACAAGTGAAGCACACCCTGTCCTTAAATAGTGAGATAAGGATATCAATTAGGTAATTAAATGACTGTCATTCAAAACAGAAATTAGTAAGTACCATAGGAAGAATACAAAGCAAGATTCTTCAAGGGAGAGAGATACAGAGAGAAAAACAGAAATATTTCATATCTTGACCAGGAAATCAGAGAAGAAATTTGATAAAGTATTTTATATAGGCAGGTCCAGAGGGGAGTAGGTGACCTGGCTTTTCATAGAATGTGGTGAGTCATTCTGTAGAAGGCTTGAGATAGTAACTATGGGTAATCACATTGTAGGGAGAGGCTGAAGCTTAATTATGGAGTGCCTCATATCACAAGCTAAGATTTTAAATTTCATCCTATGGTCCACAGAGAAGAGAGCCTCTGAAGTTATCTATATAGGGTAGTTGAATGATTTTGAATGATACGAGTTGTGTTCTAACAGAAAATATTTCAAAAACCTTTTAAATCTGCACAGTTGTAGACTGGATATCACTTCAAAAAGTGAGAGCTTCTTCCAAATCACATTCTATGTACATTCTGGTTCCCTAACCTGAGGTCTGTCCCTGATTCTGATCTGGCACTTTTGTGGCAGTTTGTGTTTGATGATTGCAATTTGTTCAACTTTATCTAATATTCTTCTAATCTCCTGCCTGCCACTGAAATTGATGTGTTTGGTCACGTTTCACAAATGAGGAAGTCAAAATTCTGTGAACTAGTGTGGTCCCTGCTGCCTTCCATGTGGGCAGAGTGAAAATTGGATTTTGCTACCAAAAAACAGGGCAAGCAGCTGCTGAGCCCCAGGGGACCATAAAACCTGCCAGAATCTTTGCTTCTCTCAATCTAAGCATGGCCAAGACCACTTTTTAAATTCTGTGTGAGATCCACTATGCATGAAATTCAATAGTTTCCAAAGATAAATCTGGTTATCATGACCAAATACATCCAAGACTAAGAGAATAAGAATGGATCTTTTTTAAATCAATAATTTTAAGCAAATTAAAAAATATAACTCCTTCAAAAGTTACTTCAATTAAACACCCTTTTGTCACGGCCTTTCTCAGAGTGATGATTCATCAGTGATCACTCACGTCAGTGAGTTTCTTGACCAAGTTAGGAAGAAATAACAGATACAGTGTGAGATTGCAAAATCCATTTCTTCCTGATAAATGCACTGAGTTTTCACTTATCCAGGTTATGTAACAACAGGCAAAATATGTTGAGCTCTTTGGTTTCCAGGGAGAAAGAAACACAAGCATTTCACTCTTGCATGACAAGCCCACAGAAACATATGAATACACACAAATATGTGCAAACACACACACACATACACACACATATATATACATAATGCATACACAACCCGCACACATTTGTATATTATTTTGAAACACATTGCTAACAAAACTCACATGTGTAATTTTGTATACATATACCCTTATGTAAATAAACAGATAATAGGCACACACATGAGGCACATACATGCAGACACATATGAAGGCAAGTACAGAGTAGAAATACAGCATAAATACATAATGCACTCCTTTGAAGTTTTAAAAGAAGACAAGGACAGTATGTAACATTATGTAACATTAAAAATGAATATGTAAGATTAAAAATGAATGTGTAATCACTTTGCTGTTAACTGCAAAAGCATTAATGAGCAGGTTGATATAAGGGGATCTGTTAAACTCATATAAATACCTTGAAGCAGTTTCTTGGTCTAACGTTGACTATAAAAATTATTTGATTAAGAATACATTACATAATCTCTGTATCAGTTTAGTGGGATAACGTATTGTGACAACATCAATTTAAGGGGTCTGGTGAAAATAATGAAGGTGAGAAAGATGCAGGCTGGTGACCACTGACTATGGGACCTGGCATTATAAGACTGAAACCTCAAAAAAATCGAACTTTCAGAAAGTCTGTCCAATTCTCTATGAAATATCAAAATTGCTAACCGTAAAGAAGAATATGAAAACAATAACGACTGATTGTCATCTTACAACTTTCACTGTGATGAGTAAATGTGGGAGAGTGACGTGCTGTGAAGAATATGAGCAATAGTTTCCCCATGTTGAAATAGTCGGCAAGTTCTCCACTCTATGCTATAGTAACAAAAATAGTTCAGGTTTTGCATAACATGCAGAAGAGAGGGAGATAAGATGATGGCAGCATTAATCTTGACCCTATGGTGCACTGGGCTGCGTTCAAGGTGCTTTCATATGTTACCTCATGATAATTTTTTTTTTTTTTGAGATGGAGTTTCTCTCTTGTTGCACAGGCTGGAGTACAATGGTGTGATATCCGCTCACTGCAACCTCTGCCTCTCGGGTTCAAGCGATTCTCCTGCCTCAGCCTCCCGAGTAGCTGGGATTACAGGCATGTGCTGCCACGCCCAGCTGATTTTGTATTTTTAGTAGAGACGGGGTTTCTCCATGTTGGTCAGGCTGGTCTCGAACTCCCAACCTCAGGTGATCTGCCTGCCTTGGCCTTCCAAAGTGCTAGGATTACAGGCGTGAGCCACTGCACCCCGCCCTCAAGATATTTTTGAGATCTAATTTCTATACTCATACATAGTTCTTCTTTAAAAGATAATTTAATATAAACTCAGAAATTTTGAACTCTGTTACTCTCCTTCCACTCTGGACTCTTCCAAGCAAAATGGTATACGACAGATTTTTTTTTTTTTTTTTTGATAGCAATTGTGTGATGTTTTTTTCCCCTGTGTTTAAACAAACATGTCTTCACTTAGAGTGCCCTGTGATAGAGGTAAAAAACATAAAAGATATGTGTCTTTCTGGCTTATATATCTTCAGGAATTTTGAGTTTTGGCATGGGGTACTCTGGAAGCTAGTCTTAGCTTATTTGGAATCTCTAAGTTTCCAATCTAAGGACAAAGACCACAATAGTAACATGCATTACATATATAAGATTCTCACTGCTCCCTATTCTCCATATAGTTCTGGGACATTACAGTCTTCTGCTGAGAGGTGGATGAAATTAATGGCAAAGCATTTGAGGAGTTATTGGCATTGGGAGTTTGTATGTATGAAAACTTTTCTGAGTGAGAATTGGTCTGGGGCATTGAGTAATCCCAAAGGATAGAGAAATGGCAAAATGCTAATCACATTTCTTTGGATTTGGCCAAAGATTCTTATTCTAACAGAAAGTAAAATTCCATCATTGTAGAAAGGGAAAGTGGGAATTTAATTTAGTCTAATAATTATTCCATTGGATATAAGCAAAGAGACTAAAATTATCCCAAATTCTCAAGAGGAGAAATGTTGAACAAATCCATAGAAGAGATGATGTGTCAGTCCATAGGAAGGCTATGCTAGGCACCCACTGGGAGATAAGGAAGGAATCAGAAGACTGAGTCCAGCCTGTTAAGAAGGTTGTGGTACGGTTCAGGGGACAGCAGAAGGGATCCCAGACAACCAGTATATGCTCTAGAAGCTCTGGAAAACAGGAGAGAAATCCTGGGTAGGCGGGGAAGGTTTGCTGGAGGATGTAAAAACTGGGAATAGAACAGTGGGCAGGATTAATCAGAGAGAGGTAAGCAGATCCTAGAATGTTCTTAAGAAAATGGGGTGGGGGGCATTTTGCCTGGCTCCAAAATCAGTTTGGGAGTATTTGAAAATACAAAAACAACAATGTGTATTGTGCATGAGTTATGCACCAATTTTATGTGAGGCACTGCAAGGTTTGTTTTACATATTATGCTGCATAATCCTCAAAACAACTCTGAAAACATAAGCTATTATTCTCACAACACATTGAAAACGTGATGCTTCCTGGGTTTAGTGGCTCACACCTGTAATCTTATCACTTTGTAAGGCCAAGACGGGAGGATCCCTTGAGTCCAGGAGTTCAAGGTTACAGTGAGCTATGATCATGCCATTGCACCCCAGCCTGGGCTACAGAGAGAGAGACTCTGTATCAAAGAGAAAGAGAAAAAAAAGGAGAATATGATGCTTGACCTGTGGAGCTAGCCCACAATCACACACATTAACTTGTAGACATTAAGAGGACCACACTCAGCTAGATTTTTTTAAATAATCAAAACTGTTTAATAGTGAAATGTGTAAGCCAAAATCTTTGGTCATTTGGAGTACCCAGGCAAACTGATGGTTAGCCCTAGTTGGGGACTTGCTGTACTAGTGAGATTTTGAAACAGATAAGATTTAAGGCCAATTTTTAAGATTCTTTAGTAATAAAATCTATGAATAAGTAAACACAAAATGAATTTTTATCTTAGCCTTGTCATGAATATCCTCTGGAAGATACCTCCTCTGCTCAGTGGTGTTTTAAAGACCATTTCTCTGGAAAATGCTGGTGCAGTGCAATTTACATTTATAAATTCTACCTCTATATAGCTTATGGATAATTTGCCTGCAGATCTTAAATCTGGCAGAATTTTATGAGCTGAGACTCTCTATGCAAGTGTAATTAAGAGACACTCTACAATTTTAGGTTCTAAATGATGGCTTAAGGGTAAAGAGTTTTTTTTTTTTAAGGTAAAGAATAAAAGTACAAATTAAAAGAAAATCACCCTTCATCTGACGTAAAAGAAATCCATTCTAAAGTGGAAAATTTTGGAAACACAGAAAAATAAAGATGCTAAAATAACAATGACCCTTAAACCCAACAACTGTAGATAATTAGTCTTAGCAATTCATCTTAGTCGCAACAATTCAGCACATCTTTCCCAGTTCTTTCTTATAGAGGTGAAACAATAGTTTCTGACATGAGTTCTAAAGCTTTTTGACCTTAGAACCTCTTTATATCTTATAAATTTTGGGGGATTGCAAAGGTTTTGTTTATGTGTTTTGTTGATATTTACTGTTGTATGTTAAACTGGAGAAAAAGTATACTTTTAAAATTTATTTATTTATTTATTTTTATTTGTCTATTTATTTATTTTGAGATGGAGTCTCGCTCCGTCGCCCAGGCTGGAGTGCAGTGGCGTAATCTCCGCTCACTGCAAGCTCCGCCTCCCGGGTTCACGCCATTCTCCTGCCTCAGCCTCCCGAGTAGCTGGGACTACAGGCGCCCGCCACCGCACCCGGCTAATTTTTTGTATTTTTAGTAGAGACGGGGTTTCATCGTGGTCTCCATCTCCTGACCTCGTGATCTGCCAGCCTCGGTCTCCCAAAGTGCTGGGATTACAGGTGTGAGCCACTGCACTCGGCCTTTAAAATTTATTTAAAATTGCAATAATAAACCTATTACATGTTAATTAACTCAAGTAACATATTTTAGTAAAAGACAACAAAAACTTAGTGAACATAATGGCATTGCTTCGCAAATCTTTTTGTGTCTGACTTAGCAGAAAACAGCTAGATTCTCACATCTGCTTCTGCATTAAACCCATTATGATATAGTGCTCTGGATAAAGTTCATGAAGAAAATCCAGCCTCATACAAATGTAAAATTGGAAAAGAGGGGAGTAGGTAAATAGCCTTTTAAGATAATTGTGATATTACCTACAGCCTCTAAAAAACTTCACTATACTCTCATCAAAGAATAAGATTGAGGCCGGGCGCAGTGGCTCGCACCTGTAATCCCATCACTTTGGGAGGCCAAGGCGGGTGGATCACAAGATCAGGAGTTCGAGACCAGCCTGGCAGAAATGGTGAAACCCTGTCTCTGCTAAAAATACAAAAATTATCCAGGTATGGTGGTACATGCCTGTAATCCTAGCTCCTCGGGAGGCTGAGGCAGAAGAATTGCTTGAACCTGGGGGGCGGAGGTTGCAGTGAGCCAAGGTCGTGCTACTGCACTCAGGCCTGGGTGACAGAGCAAGACCCTGTCTCAAAAAAAAAGAAAAAAAAAAAGAATAAGATTGAGAAGGCCAATAATGTCTTAGCATTATCATGAAAATAGTTTTGACTTCATAAACCCCTTAAAAGGCCCTCGGGGACCCCAGTGATCTCTGTACTAGATTTTGAGAAACCCTGTTTTGTATGTATTCTGTATTGGTGACTTATCAATATGTTTTAAACATCCTTAAAAATAATTCAAATAAAAACACATCATGATAGATTTAAACAATCTCCATGTTATTTGGGCATTAGGTTGTTTTCTTTCTTATACTAACAAAAGTAACACTAAAATTCTTATCTTTTATCTATAATTCTGCATGTAAATATTATAGTTTCTTAAGATGGATTACCCGAAGTTTGAGATTGTATTTTATGATAATTAATAGGTTGTGCCAACTTGATTTTAAGAAAGATTATGCCAACTACTATTTCACAAATAGAATATGAGAGCAGATATTTCATCAACTGCTCCACAGCACGGAGTATATTGCATCAAGTTATCTTTACTTTGTTATTAGGGTGAAAAAAAGTAATTTTTTCAAATCCTTTGCATAATGATGAGGTTGACCATTTTTTCATGCTGATTTGTCACTAATATTCTCTATGTAAGAGTATTATAACCATCAGCTCCCTGGCATTAGTATTGGTCATCCATTCTGTTACTTTAATCATTTTAGAGACAGGGGCTTGCTCTGTCACCCAGGCTGGAGTGCAGTGGTGTAATCACGGCTCATTGCAGCCTCAACTTCATGGGTTCAAGCAATCCTTCCACCTCAGCCTCCCAAGTAGCTGGGACCACATGCATGCACCACCACACCTGGCTAACATTTTATGTTTTGAAGATACAGGGTCTCACTGTGTTGCCCAGACTCGGCTTGAACTCCTGGATGCAAGCAATCTTCCTGCCTTAGTCTCCCAAAGTGCTGGGATTACAGGCGTGAGCCACTGTGCTTGGCATCATTCTGTTACTTTGAAAGACGTTTATAAATCTGACCAAATACTGCAATGATTTTCCTTAATAATATAATATCGTAAGCAGCGGTCTATGTGTGTTGGCATTCTAAGGTTGCTGTAAAAAAAGTATGGGTGGCTTACAGAAATTTATCACCTCACTGTTTTGAAAGCCAGGAGTCTGAGATGAAGGTGTTGACAGTGTTGCTTCCTTCTCAGGGTTGTAAGGAAGGATGTGTTCCATGACTCTCATGTAATTTCTGGTGGCTTTTCTTTCTGGCAATCTTAGGCATTTCTTAACATATAGAAGTACCACCTTGATCTTCGCCTTCATATAGAAGCACCACCTTGATCTCTGCCTTCAGCTTCACATGTAATTACACTCATGTGTATGTCTGCATACAAATTTTCCCTTTTTATGAAAACACTGGTCATATTGGAGTAGGAGTCCATTCCACTCCAGGTGATGATCTCATCATAACCTAACTAATTGCATCTGCATCGACTTTATTTTGAAATAAGGTCAGATTCTGAAGTACTGGGAGTCAAGACTTGAACATATGAATGTTAGGGGAACAGTTTTATCCATAACACTGTGCTTCACAGACGGACACACCTACTGAATGGAAAATTTGAAGATTCTGTTTGAACCCTAATATCTACCTGCATTCCCTATAAAAAGCTTTATGTCTTTTTGTGGCTTATTTAGTTGGGCATAATGGTAACATAATTCTCCTTGTCACTGTCATCATCATCGATTGCATTTGTCCAGAATTTTACTAATTATGAAGCACTTCTGCATGCTTGATATTACTTGATCTTCTTGGTTATCTAAGGAAGGCAAAGTTGATTATAATACCTATTTTAAAGAAATCTGAGGCTCAGGTAGATTGCTTTGCCCAAGGTCACTGGGAATGACATCTAGCCTCACTTTGTGTTTGACCAGAGCCTGCAGGGGAGGCTTCAATGACCATCACTGTAGATGAGAGGCAGTCAAAATGCTCTTTGATTAACAAAAACCAAACATAGCATATACAGTGATGAATTATTTAACACAAGTGAATTAATGAACACAAGGATGGTGAATTATAGCTTAAGTAAGAAAATTCAGTTTCCTAGCACAATTTTTTTGTAATCTTTTAAGAGAATAGTTACAATATCTCATAACATACAGCATATGTTTTGTAATCTTTGTGGTTAGAAGTTACATTTACAAGCTTTATAATCAGGCAGTTTATAACCCTCTGGAGATCTTCTCATCAATTATCAGTAGATATAGATGAAAATGTGAAAGCAAAATAATTAGAGGCAATATTTAACATTATATAAGATCTTTGCTCCATCGGGGCTCATTTCTAACACTACTATTGCTTTATTGTATTCTTATGGTCACAGAAATGAAAATGTTCTGTGAAGTTCCACTTAATTTTTATTCTATTTAGAAAGGTGGTATCAGCAATTATTCTTTTCTCTAAACACTCATATTGAAAACTTCTCATCTGTACAATTGTCATTTACATTTCCAATATCAAGGTCACTAAAAATTGAAAGTTTATAAATTTTGATACTAGTCACAGAATCAGATATTAGTAACTCCATTGGGAGAAGTTTATCATAGCAACCTTGCAATGTCCAAAAAACAGTCTACCTATCTGCTTTTAGAGAAATGTACAAACACATTGTAAACGTATCATTTAATTAATGGTACGGAGCAGTGAAAAGGAATGCGTCAGTATGGCTGAATCTCAGAAACAGAATATTGATTGAAAAAAGCAAGTGTTGGAATAATGCATACAATATGAATCTGTTTTTATAATGTTCAAAAATATGCAAAGCATGACTATATACGGTTCGAGAATATACATCATGATGTGACTAAACTATAAAGAAAAGTATGACAATGATAAAACAGAAGCTTAGGTGCACCCAAGGCACTCATAATGTACCATTTTATAACATCCCACTTGAATCTAGGAAGTTCGTTTTATTGTCTTGGTAATTTTTCTCTTGTATGTACTTAACATTTTATAAAAACAAATCTTAAATGGTAGATGTGACATGTAGACACTATTTCTGCACTTCACATCCAGTCTTGTGCCCCCTAGATAAGTAAGCAGGAAGAAGACAATAAGCAGGAAGAAGATAAAGGATGACTGTTTGAATTCAGCATCCCTGCAGAGGCCTACTACATGCCTCTACCCTGCTGGGCACTTTCAGGCAGAAATAAATCAGGCCCAGTTCTTGCCCTTGTGGCACTTAGTGAAGCCATTCAGGAGACAATGTTGACCTCATGAAATAACTAAGGGCATAGGGCAGACTGTGCTGTCCTCATTTTTTGTCTGGGTTCCTGCAACAATCTCCTGATTAGTAAAGAAAAACCAGTTCTGTCCGCTTGGCATTCATCTAATGCAGAAAGTGCTTTTTCTAGAGTCTCTGATCATGAGAATTGCAAACAAATGGAGTTTTCCATCATGCCCCCTGTGCTTGTGTTATATGCGAAGCTCTGTGTCTTAGCCAGCAAGAGCATTCACACTCTGGCTCCTACGCCACCAGGTTTGGCTCTCTCCAGCTCTACCAAACACCCACCCTGGCACCCTGCCCCAAACCATTTGTTCCTGCTTGCAAATCCTTATATTTGGCAGGCCTGCTTGCTCCTCTGGGTCTTTGCACACGCTTCTCCCTCTAGGTTGAGACACTATTGCTTTTAGCTATCTAATGAGCAATGCATAGCTCCTTATACTCAATGCAAAAAATCTTTCCTGACCTTGGGTAATTACCCCTCACTTGTACTCTTAAAGAGCCCTATACTTTCCTTTATCAACACATGCATTCCACAATGAACAGTGATGATCTGTTTACTTTTCTGAATTCCTGATAACTCTATGAGATCCTTGAGGTGTATGACTCTCAGGATATTATATAAGAGATAATATTAGTAACAAGTGAAAGCAATTTAGCCATGAGGCCGTATTTGCAAATAAAACATGACTGATTCATCTAAGTATTATATGGTATTTATAGGGTAGGATTGACATCTTCTTAGAGGAAGTAAGAGTAGAACTGGCCTTTGAAGGGTAGACTTGGATCAGCAGGAAAAAAAATATTCTCAATGGAGAACCACAGAAGAGAAAGCACATAAGGAAGAATTTGTAAGTTTTTTTTTTTTTCGGAAACAAGGAAAGCACAAGATTGACTAAGTAGGAAGTTTGTATTATTGTGAGAAATAAACTTGAAAAGGAAAATTGGACTAAAGTAGGACAATAGTTGCGAATCAGTCTTGCATAAATGGGAAGGACTGTGAAGGACTGAGATAATCGGAGTGATCTGTTGAAACTCCGGCCAACACTGAGTTAACTGGAGCAAAATTGAAACTGGAAATGCCAAATCTAAGATTGTTTTTCTGTCTCTGATTACAAATACATAGTAAGTCCAAAACAGTACCTGTCTTAAGTCTTCCTGAAGGAGGATGTTTGGCAAATTGGAGGCAATAGGAGAGACTGACTCATTCCAATTACTCTTTTGAAAATGAAAGATGTAAAGGAAGTAAATCCACTTAAGAGCTTAGGGAAATTGTGAAGTGCCTGTCAGATTACAATAATTGTATGGAAGGCTTTTGTGAGCTGTGATAGAGGACGGTCTAGGTAAGGGGGAAAAAAGGCAAAGTAAAATGTTTTCCTCCATTAACAGTTTCTAGAAATAGACTGTGTGATTGTGGTGTTTATGTGCTCCACGCAGGTTTCTATAGGAGAAGAAATGTTCTGAGGAGAGGAAACCTTCCCAAGGACAAGCTAGAGAACATGACTTGCCTCTTCCCAACCCTCCACCCTCCCAGGTCCTCTCAGTACTCCAAGTACTAAGTCCAAGTAAACTAAGTCTAAGTAAACCAAATAAGTAACTAAATCTAAGTAAACCAAGTCCAAGATTTATTTGGGAGCTGGGAGTGTGCTTCTGCCAGGCAGGGCAATACTCTTGAGAACCTAGGGGACCCAGGAAATAACACACTTCTCTGACTCCAAGGCAGAGATTGAGATATTATTTTCATTACTGAAATTAAACTCATGTTGAGAATGTGGCTTAGGCAGGCTATTAATATAATAATGAGCTATTGAACACCATAGAAAACCCTGAGACCTCCTCACATTGGGTTCTGGACTGTAAATTTATAGCATGGGGAAGAAGAGCAGAATGTGTACTTTCAGGAGGTCGTGAGTTTCCAAGGAGAAAAAGGAACTGAGAGATTTAGCTTCTCATTCGCAATTTTTTCTACTTCACAGTTGAGTAAAGTCATTCATCCTCCCTGGGGGATAAATGATTAAGGAAAGGGAGAGAGGTTGGGAGAGTTAGAATTCAGAGACCTCTCCAAACAAAAGAAAATATGACTGTAAAGATGTGAGCCTACCTAACAAATTTCTGAATTTTCTGTGTTCTCTGTGTAGCTGGAGGGAGCCATTTTAATATCTGGAAGACCAAATCCAGTTGTCTTCATGAGTCTCATTGAATTTGATTTACAAGTAAGGAGGCAAAAAAGGATACAGAGGGGTCAGAGTAATCAACCGTATATTAGGGCAGGTCAGGAAAAGTTTCACAAAAGAGAAGACATTTGTTGTTAAAGCCTAAAATAGTAAAGTGAACATTTCAGACAGAATGTACAAAGACATGGGTTTTAAAATCGCATGTCATGTCTGGAAAATTCCAAGTATCCTATGTAAATCCTACGTAAACCAAGTGTCTTACGTAGTGAGTGAAAAAATGTTGAGACTGTTTAGGTTCACAGGTGGGCCCAGTCTTGTAGGGGCCTTTGTTTAATGAGATAATCTTGTCCTTTAAAATTGGGGAAACCACTGAAGGAGGTTAAAAATTATTTGCTCCCTGAGGTTCTCTGACACGTCAGTGAGCCCTTGAACCCTGATCTTTTGTTTGTTTCCATCTTTAGCACAGCTCAGCTTCTACTCTGGCCGTCATTGTAAAGCAGTTTATTTCAATTTCACTTTCCAGGTCTTATTTAATGGTATCCAATAAATTATTTTACAACTTCATTGAATTGTCTGACCTTTCACTAAAAATCAAGTGAGTTTGGGGGAGGCATGAGGATGCTACAAACATGACCCTTACTTTCAAGGAGGCTGCCTTCTACAGTGCAGGAAGACAGGTGTCTACAAAACCAGATCTGGAACAAATCAGAGACGGGGCCTTAAAAGAGGAGCAAATGAGGGGTTTTTGGAGCACAGAGAAGGAAACACTAAATATTTGTCAGAATAGGTGGAGTTAAGGAGGGCTGCACAGAAGAGATAACCATAGGCATAACAGAACAGGGGCAGTTTCCTGACAGACGTTGTCTTGTTAATCTCTCCCTTCATTTATGGATACTACAACCTTGTTCTACAAATGCTTAGGATACACTGGAATTCATCCATAGCTAATGGTATACATGGGGGGGTGATGAAAGCTTGGAGACAACAGCTGTGGAGAGATGGGACACAGGGACACAAACACAAGTGATTTATTTCTGAGGTCAGATTGAGAGAAGAGCTGCAGTTTGAATGTGAGGGAAGAGGAAGAGCAAGGAAATGTTGCTGGAGTTTCTGACTCTGGTGACCTTGTGGAGATTATTCAATCTCTTAGGATAACGACCTACAGGCACCTTAAGCCAGCTGCCTGGGAGTTAGTCCATGGAGGGAAACTGTGAAAAACTTGGAAATGAAACAAAAATATTGCTGGGTGAATTCAGTGGGAAAGTAGAGATGGTCATCTTGGTTGCTGCTTTTATTCAGTCTTTGTGCTTTCCCATGTCTTTGTTTTTTCAGTGTCTTAAATTACAAATACCTAGTGCAAATGATTTCATTCACAGATATGCAAATGCATTTTGTCTACTGAAAAAGACAATTGATTTCTCCTCTCATTCCCTTGGAAAAGTCAGTTTTTATCCATTTTAAAGTATATTTTAGCATTCCTGATGGTATGTGTATATGCACACATATGTATAGATATATAAATATATACATGTTTTAATTCTCCTCTGAATTGGTTGCAACATCTTATTGGTCATCTCATTAGTGAGTTCAGTAAAATCTTTGATTCATGCTAAGTTTATTTTTATATGAGAGTCATGATTTTACCCTTTAAAAATTAATCTTTAAATGTCCTCTTTAAATTGAACTTTATTTGCATGTGGGTTCAAGGATCTAGTTCCTTCCTTAATGACAGGAGAAAAGCTCCCTAGTTCCCTAGTTCATAATCCAAGTTTATGTTGGCTAATCCAGAAATCTGCCAGGTAAATAACTGGTCATTTCTTTCTTTCTGGAGAAATGTCTAAAGTAGGTGATTATTTCTTATGCTGTTCTCCCCAGGGAAGAACATGAGTGTAAGGCAGTAGCCTGAGATACATCTTTCTTGCCTTGCCTCTAGCTTTTTAAATGTCAGTTGCTTATTTTAGACAAATAATGTGCTCTGGCTGCCTTCTAATGTGCTCACATCTCATACTCTGTCCATAAATTTCTTAGTTATGGCTAGAGGAAAAGAAGTTTCAAAGCCAACACAATGGGTCACTGGGGGAGGAGTCTTAAGTACAAGTTTTATTTTCATAAAAAATAAAATCCAAAAGGCAGCTCAATGGGTAGAAAAAAATCTTAGTTGAGGACATTCAATATTCCCATCTGATACTTGCATCCTATAGTAGATTCAACTGCCTTCCCCTCAATTGTTGCCACACGACCTGTGCATGCTCCTGTCCTAAGGGCTATAAGCCCTGATTGAATTTATTTCTTAATGTATGCGTCTCTCTTGCTAAAATGTGAGGCTCTTTAAAGCAGGAGGCTAATTTGATCTTTCTGCAATGTCATTCAGAAATTTGGAATACAGTAACTTTCTAATATGCATTCCTACCTTCCTGGACAGCTCTCGCAATTTAAAAAGACTGTCCATGTTTTTCAAAAGAAGACATACAAATGGGCAACAAGCATATGAGGAAATTCTCAATATCCCGTCATTAGAGAAATGCACATTAAAACCACAATGAGATACCATCTTATACCAGTCAGAACAGCTATTATTAAAAAGTCAAAAAATAACAGATGTTGCCTAGGATGCAGAGAAAAGGGAATGCTTATAAACCGTTGGTGGGAAGATAAATTAGTAGAACCTCTATGGAAAACAGTATGGAGATTTCTCAAAGAACAAAATTAGAACTACGATTTGATCCAGCAATTCTACTACTGGGTATATACCTAAAGGAAAAGAAATCATTATATCAAAAAGATTCTTGCACTCATGTGTTTATTGCAGTGCTATTCACAATAGAAAAGGTATGGAATCAAATTAAGTGAATATCAATGGAGGATTAGATCAAGAAAATATGATATAGATATATATACATACCATGTGTGTACACACACACACACACACACACACACACACATCATGGAATACTGCTCAACCATAAAAATGAATGAATTCATTTTGCAGCAACATGGATGGAACTGAAGATCATTATCTTGAGTAAAATAACTCAGAATAGAAAGTCAAGTACTGAATGTTCTCATTTTACTTGACTGAAAGTCAAGTAAATAATGTGTACTCATGGATATGCAGGGTAGAATAATAGACATTGGAATCTCAGAAAGCTGGGAGGGTGGGAGTGGGGTGAAGGATGAGAAATTACCTATTGAGTGTAATGTACGCTATTTGGGTGATGGTTATGCTAAGAGCTCAGACTTTCATCACCACACAATATATCAATGTAACAAAACTACACTCCGGGCCCTCCAAATCTGTAAAACTAAATAAATAAATATATGTAAGATAAAAATAACGAAGACCTTTTATGTTTAGAGTCAGAATCTACCTCTTCGTAATATCCATCCTTATGTCACAGGTGTGTCCTTTGGAGTTACACAGATCAAATTTCTTTTTTTTGATAATCACAAAAGGACTTTATTATTAGCTCCCACCATCCTTATTCAGTGACAGCCCATGATAGAAAATTTGAATCTGATCACTCCTAAACTCCTGTGTTCCCTTTAAGTGAGTAAATGCTTTCTTATCTCTTATGATAATCATAGCTTACATCTCTTTTTATGTTTACAGCTACTTCCCTTCTCCCAGAGTGTACTGCTGCTGGGTGACTTATCATGGGTGAAGGGATCCCAGGGGCTTTTTTTCCCTTCCTTGTTCATTTTTTCCCTAACTCAACAGTCTCTATTTCTGACCTCTGCGGAGTTGGAGCTTGGAAAAATGAGGGAAAAGGAAATGGAATAGAAATGTTCCTACTTGACTGCTATTGTCATAAGAGGCTTTTACTTTTTCTGGGCTTAACAGATTTTTAAAGTTGACTTTCTCTTACATTTTCATGGGTCTTTGGAGATCCCCTGTTCTGCACATCTCTTACCTACAGTTCTTTCTGGGTTAGTGTATCTCTTACTCTCTCTTAGCCTCTAGAATTCTAGAAATAACCTTCAGCTTCTCAGCTGCCGAGCTCTATTTCTTCTTCTTGGTGGCCCTCTTAAGAAGGACCTAAAACAACCCTTCATGATGGTTCACACACTCAGATTTCCCAAATGGCTCCTGAGAAACTCTCACCAAATTTTTTTGGGAGGTGGGGGGTCTGTTTAATACAGTGAGTTTAGATTTATTCTTTTTATTATTATTATTATTATTATACTTTAAGTTTTAGGGTACATGTGCACAATATGCAGGTTAGTTACATGTGTATACATGTGCCATGCTGGTGTGCTGCACCCATTAACTTGTCATTTAGCATTAGGTACATCTCCCAATGCTATCCCTCCCCCCTCCCCCCACCCCACAACAGTCCCCAGAGTGTGATGTTCCCCTTCCTGTGTCCATGTGTTCTCATTGTTCAATTCCCATCTATGAGTGAGAACATGCAGTGTTTGGTTTTTTGTCCTTGTGATAGTTTACTGAGAATGACGATTTCCAATTTCATCCATGTCCCTACAAAGGACATGAACTCATCATTTTTTATGGCTGCATAGTATTCCATGGTGTATATGTGCCACATTTTCTTAATCCAGTCTATCAGTGTTGGACATTTGTGTTGGTTCCAAGTCTTTGCTATTGTGAATAGTGCCACAATAAACATATGTGTGCATGTGTCTTTATAGCAGCATGATTTATAGTCCTTTGGGTGTATACCCAGTAATGGGATGGCTGGGTCAAATGGTATTTCTAGTTCTAGATCCCTGAGGAATTGCCACACTGACTTCCACAATGGTTGAACTAGTTTACAGTCCCACCAACAGTGTAAAAGTGTTCCTATTTCTCCACATCCTCCCCAGCACCTGTTGTTTCCTGACTTTTTAATGATTGCCATTCTAACTGGTGTGAGATGGTATCTCATTGTGGTTTTGATTTGCATTTCTCTGATAGCCAGTGATGATGAGCATTTTTTCCTGTGTCTTTTGGCTGCATAAATGTCTTCTTTTGAGAAGTGTCTGTTCATATTCTTTGCCCACTTTTTGATGGGGTTGTTTTTATGTTGTAAATTTGTTTGAGTTCATTGTAGATTCTGGATATTAGCCCTTTGTCAGATGAGTAGGTTGCGAAAATTTTCTCCCATTTTGTAGGTTGCCTGTTCACTCTGATGGTAGTTTCTTTTGCTGTGCAGAAGCTCTTTAGTTTAATTAGATCCCATTTGTCAATTTTGGCTTTTGTTGCCATTGCTTTTGGTGTTTTAGACATGAAGTCCTTGCCCATGCCTATGTCCTGAATGGTAATGCCTAGGTTTTCTTCTAGGGTTTTTATGGTTTTAGGTCTAATGTTTAAGTCTTTAATCCATCTTGAATTGATTTTTGTATAAGGTGTAAGGAAGGGATCCAGTTTCAGCTTTCTACATATGGCTAACCTGTTTTCCCAGCACCATTTATTAAATAGGGAATCCTTTCCCCATTGCTTGTTTTTCTCAGGTTTGTCAAAGATCAGATGGTTGTAGATATGTGGCATTATTTCTGAGGGCTCTGTTCTGTTCCATTGATCTATATCTCTGTTTTGGTACCAGTACCATGCTGTTTTGGTTACTGTAGGCTTGTAATATAGTTTGAAGTCAGGTAGCGTGATGCCTCCAGCTTTGTTCTTTTGGCTTAGGATTGACTTGGCGATGCGGGCTCTTTTTTGGTTCCAGATGAACTTTAAAGTAGTTTTTTCCAATTCTGTGAAGAAAGTCATTGGTAGCTTGATGGGGATGGCATTGAATCTGTAAATTACCTTGGGCAGTATGGCCATTTTCATGATATTGATTCTTCCTACCCATGAGCATGGAATGTTCTTCCATTTGTTTGTATCCTCTTTTATTTCATTGAGCAGTGGTTTGTAGCTCTCCTTGAAGAGGTCCTTCACATCCCTTGTAAGTTGGATTCCTAAGTATTTTATTCTCTTTGAAGCAATTGTGAATGGGAGTTCACTCATGATTTGGCTCTCTGTTTGTCTGTTATTGGTGTATAAGAATGCTTGTGATTTTTGTACATTGATTTTGTATCCTGAGACTTTGTTGAAGTTGCTTATCAGCTTAAGGAGATTTTGGGCTGAGACAATGGGGTTTTCTAGATATACAATCATGTCATCTGCAAACAGGGACAATTTGACTTCCTCTTTTCCTACTTGAATACCCTTTATTTCCTTCTCCTGCCTAATTGCCCTGGCCAGAACTTCCAACACTATGTTGAATAGGAGTGGTGAGAGAGGGCATCCCTGTCTTGTGCCAGTTTTCAAGGGGAATGCTTCCAGTTTTTGCCCATTCAGTATGATATTGGCTGTGGGTTTGTCATAGATAGTTCTTATCATTTTGAGATACGTCCCATCAATACCTAATTTATTGAGAGTTTTTAGCATGAAGGGCTGTTGAATTTTGTCAAAGGCCTTTTCTGCATCTATTGAGATAATCATGTGGTTTTTGTCTTTGGTTCTGTTTATATGCTGGATTACATTTATTGATTTGCGTATATTGAACCAGCCTTGCATCCCAGGGATGAAGCCCACTTGATCATGGTGGATAAGCTTTTCGATGTGCTGCTGGATTCGGTTTGCCCACTGTCAACATTAGAAAGATCAACGAGACAGAAAGTTAACAAGGATACCCAGGAATTGAACTCAGCTCTGCACCAAGCGGACCTAATAGACATCTACAGAACTCTCCACCCCAAATCAACAGAATATACATTTTTTTCAGCACCACACCACACCTATTCCAAAATTGACCACATACTTGGAAGTAAAGCTCTCCTCAGCAAATGTAAAAGAACAGAAATTATAACAAACTGTCTCTCAGACCACAGTGCAATCAAACTAGAACTCAGGATTAAGAAACTCACTCAAAACCGCTCAACTACATGGAAACTGAACAACCTGCTCCTGAATGACTACTGGGTACATAACGAAATGAAGGCAGAAATAAAGATGTTCTTTGAAACCAATGAGAACAAAGACACAACATACCAGAATCTCTGGGACACATTCAAAGCAGTGTGTAGAGGGAAATTTATAGCACTAAATGCCCACAAGAGAAAGCAGGAAAGATCCAAAATTGACACCCTAACATCACAATTAAAAGAACTAGAAACGCAAGAACAAACACATTCAAAAGCTAGCAGAAGGCAAGAAATAACTAAATAACTAAAATCAGAGCTGAACTGAAGGAAATAGAGACAAAAAAAAACCCTTCAAAAAATCAATGAATCCAGGAGCTGGTTTTTTAAAAGGATCAACAAAATTGATAGACCACTAGCAAGACTAATAAAGAAAAAAAAGAGAGAAGAATCAAATCGCCGCAATAAAAAATGATAAAGGGGATATCACCACCGATCTCACAGAAATACAAACAACCATCAGAGAATACTACAAACACCTCTACGCAAATAAACTAGAAAATCTAGAAGAAATGGATAAATTCCTCGACACATACACTCTCCCAAGACTAAACCAGGAAGAAGTTGAATCTCTGAATAGACCAATAACAGGATCTGAAATTGTGGCAATAATCAATAGCTTACCAACGAAAAAGAGTCCAGGACCAGATGGATTCACAGCCGAATTCTACCAGAGGTACAAGGAGGAAATGGTACCATTCCTTCTGAAACTATTCCAATCAATAGAAAAAGAGGGAATCCTCCCTAACTCATTTTATGAGGCCAGCATCATCCTGATACCAAAGCCGGGCAGAGACACAACCAAAAAAGAGAATTTTAGACCAGTATCCTTGATGAACATTGATGCAAAAATCCTCAATAAAATACTGGCAAAACACAGATCAAATTTATTATTCTCTCAATGTCATGGAGACAAGGCACACACAAAAGAGAAGGCAGTTAGAACAGTGGTCCCCAACATTTTTGGCACCAGAGACCCATTTTGTAGAAGACGATTTTTCCATGGACTGGGGAAGGGGATGGTTTTGGGATGATTCAAGTGCATTTCATTTATTGTGCACTTTGTTTCTATTATTGTTACACTGTAATATATAAATATATAATGAAATAATTTTACAGCACATAATATAGAATCAGTGGGAGCCCTGAGCCTGTTTACCTGCAACTAGATGGTCCCATCTGGGGGTGATGGGAGACAGGAACAAATCATCAGGCATTAGAGCCTCATAAGGAGCATGCAACATAGATCTCTTGCATGTGCAGTTCACAGTAGGGTTTGTGTTCCTATGAGAATCTAATGCCACTGCTGATTTGACAAGAAGCAGAGCTCAGGTGTTAATGCAAGCAAAGGGGAGTGACTGTAAATACAGATGAAGCTTTGCTTGCCCACTGCTCACCTTCTGCTGTGCAGCCCAGTTCCTAACAGGCCATGGAATGGTTCATGGCCTGGGGGTTGGGAACCCCTGAGTTACAATAATGGAAGCCACCAAATTAGTTTTTCCACATATCCTCCAAGAATAATAGTTATAGAAAGGAGAATAAGTAAAACCACTTAGACCATGCCTGCAGCATGACTGTAGGATAGAGAGTATTAAAGCTTCAATTTATATTTTAGTTGGGAAATAAACTTCTGAAACTCACAAATGGCCTCGGGAGCCGAAGCCAGAGCTGAGCGTCATATAGTACTGCATAGAAGAAAGAAACATGTGTCAGGATCCTGGATGTGATAGAACCAACAGCATCAACTATGGTTTACAACCAGAAAAAGGCACCATCTTACATGATGACAGATGTAAGGGCCACAGATCGGAGTTACTGAGGAGCTAAGAACTCTAGAATCTCAGTGTTTAGGTGGAAGGCACAGAGGTGTTCACTGTACTGTTCTAAATACTCTGTATCATCCTAGTGTGTTGAAAAAGTTCAAGGAACTCATGAAGAAGTTTAAAAATATGGTAGAGAGAATGTGCTGTGGGAACACAGGGGAAAAGTCACGCCTTCCTGGGGCTATACAAGAAAGGGGCTTTGAGAGAGATCTGGAAGGTGGCACAAGATCACCTACTCACCAAGAAGGGGGCCTAGTCACGCATATTCCCTCATGGACTCTCAACACCGTGCCTGGGCACTACCTTGATCACCTTGCGGTTTCAGACCCTCTTCAGCCCAGGGATACCTATCAATATTAATACTCTCTGCAAAAATCTGTCCTCATGCCTTGGGTTTACTCTTGTTCTTGAATTTGGGAGGTGTTAGCTTGCTGCAAATATAATGTTGCTGAAAAAAGACACGGTACAAACAAGTCAACATTTTAGAGAAATCATAGAAGCCAGCAGATTTTAGATTTTTGGTGCTAAAAAAGAATTAAGGCCCAACTTTAGAGCGAGTTATTAAGCAAAGAGAGTAAAAAGGCTCTTTTAGCTTTCCAGCATGTGTTGTACTTTTTGGGTGTCTTTTCTCTACCAGGGCCCACTTGGTACCTGTGCTAACATGGTATTTTTGAACATTATTAAAGAAATATGCAAAGTATCCTTTGCTCAGGGAATAACTGCAGGAAACTAACATTTATAGAGGTAATGCACTGAGTCATGCATTGTGGTAGGTGCTTTGTGTACATTTTATCAGATATTCCCTACTTGAGTGTCATGGATCCTGGAATACCAGGAAGTAGTTGCAGATGTGTTGAGATATTTATGCCCTTCATGTCTGGTGTGGTTGAAAAGGGCCTAGTGAAGCCAGACAGAGCCTCTAGGCCAGACACTTCAGGCCACAGAGAGCCTATTTCTGTGTACCATGCATAACATGAAAACATCTGGGCAGCATGGCCTTATACCAGTTATTTCTCATTGTAAACTATAAGGTAAATATCACTTTCACTATTTCAGAAATAAAGAAACTGAGGCTCAAGAGATTGAATGAGTTTCTGTCTAATCCCATAGACAATGAGTAGCAGAGTCAAGGTTGCAGTCCGGCTGCCTGGTATCAGGGTTCAGCTTTCTCTCTGCACCCTCTTCAGTTCATGGATTACCTCAGCTCTGTGGCTTAGCACATCTCTGCATTATGTTTGCACACCCACAGAGGGCAACCACTCAGATTTGGAAGCTGAAGTAACACATGAGCTGGAAAGATCTTCAGACAGCATAAAGTTTTGGAACTTTCTACTAAGGAATACAGTTTGAAAGCATCACACTAGAGGGAAGAGATTGGAGAAGTGGTGTGGGTTCAAATCATGAATATCTTGCAACAGGTTTGGAAGATTGGCAATGAGGAGCCATTGAAAATATTCTTTCCTTTAATTTCCCCCTTAATTATTTCTTATGCTGTATAACTCAAAAGTAACTAGAGATCCCCTGTCTCTAGGTGGATATGGAGTCACTTCCATGGGAATGCCCAGGCTATATGAGCTCAGTGGGTGTCCCTGTTTAATGGCAAGACCTTAGTTCCTCCAGGGCATCCTCAGGGATGTTCCACTGTTCTCGGATGTTAGGTCAGTCTGCATCCTCAGCAGCTGGACCAGGGCCAATCCTGCTGCCATTGCCTGTCCTTGAGGTACTGCTTTCTGCTCCACTGGTGCTGCTGTCATTAACACTGGTTGCTCTAGGCTGGGACGTGGGTCTAGTGAGTCTTGTGTCAGCTGCTGCTTCTTAACCCTGACACAGCTCATTCCCCTATTGTAACTTGCCCCTGCGCTTTCCTGGTAGCCTTCTGACCACCTTTATTCCCCAATGTCTTCCCACTCCAGACCACTGCCTGCCACTTTCCTGGGCTGGGTCCATCTTTGGCTTACGGCTCTGAGTAATATCTTCACCCACTTGCTTGGGTTCCTGCTATTGATACAGCTGCTGTTACTATTGGTTCCTGGCAGGGCAATGGACCACTCTTCTTTTCTACTTCTCTTTACTACTTCAGGTTCTCTATTTTACTTTAGGTTCTTACTCTTCTCTACTTTAGGTTCTTGCCATCAAGGAAGATTGCCCAGCTGCCTGTGTTGGTTCAAGCTGTTCAGATATTTTCTCAGGTAACACCCACCATGTGGCACTATTGCTACCCTCCAATCTTCAGGCCTTGTTGCCAAGCCTGGCTCATTACTGCAGATTTCTTCTTCCCTCAGGGTAAATTCTTCCCCTAACGATCCCTATTTCTTCTCGAAATGTCACTCCACTGGGTTACTCCCACCCAATTTACCAGATGTGCTTGTAGCTCTGCTGGCACCCGAATCTTGGCACTGTTAGTTCTTTACCAAGGAGGCTATTTAGCATCTGCATCAACAGTGATTAACAGGAGTGAGGAAGTCATGTAATTCATATGCACATTTCCTCTTATTTCAAAACATGTCATTTTTTTTGTAGAGATTTTAGAAAATGCAGTAAAAAAATAGGATGACAAATATCACTAGTAATTTTTCCACCCAGAGATAAATAAAGTTAATGTTTGCTGGATGTCATTTATATTTATTATGTGCCCTGTGCCAGGCATTGTGCTAAGCACAGCAACAACAACAAAACAAAATACTCTCTGCCAGTGCTTATGGGAGTATACCACATATACTATCATGGAGCCTCTGCTCTCCCTCATGCTATTTCATAAAGCCTATTTTTAAAAAAATTCTTTACTGAAGAAGACAGAGTTTTCTGTCATTTTTCTCCTGGTTTCTGAATGAAATCACATTCAGACACATGCCTTTCTCAGAACTTTCCAGATGTCTTTCATTCCCCTGCATTGCAGCATTTTTCTCCTATACTTCATTTTTCTCCCTTCTTTATTTTTTCTCTGACAGTGACTCAGCTGTTATCCTCAGTATTTGTCAACAAATAGAGCCTTTAGCTCTCTCCTGCTCACTTATGTGCTGTTAGAGTCTTTCCCTCGTATCTGCTCTTGGTGGAGATGACCCCTCATCCCCCATATTCCAGGACTCATCTTCCAGTCGTTATTAGCTTAGTGCCCTGTGCTTTGTGGAGCTGATAGCCTTCCCTACCCCAGTGACTGGTGCACCACCCTCTTGAATTATTGGAAAATGCAGGTGTCTGGGGTACACATCTCAGTTATACTGTTCTCAGGCTGTCTGTTTCCAGTCTACATAAAAGATTTTCTTTGTGGAGCCTATTCCTCCCAGTACGCAAGGTGCCCCAGTTGGTACCCCTGGGCTCCAAAAGTTGCCGCATACAGATGTGGAAAGGACAGCAGAGGCTGTCACCTCATGAATCAGCACCCAAGGGGCAGATGGGCAGCTGCTCAGCTTTCAGATTGGTTTGGACAGTGGAGAGCCTTTGAATTTGGGGCTAGATATTGGGAGAAGTAAAAGTGCTTTTCTTTCTTTAGATACTATCTGTTTCATAAAAGAAAGTCTGGGTTCTGCCCTATCTGGTTCTAAACTCATTAGAGTTCGTAGAAATTTCTCCGATTTCTAATGTTAGGTTGTCAGTCCATCTGTTCATCCTAATAGTCTCTGCTGTTATTTTCAGTTTCTTCTTTCCTTTGTCTTTATTCATATTTGATTGGAAGTTAGGAGGGGCCTCCTTACTTCACTGAAGGTGCTAGGCTAATCTTCCCAACAATCATGATAGTTGCATTATTGAACACCTATGTACCTGATACTTTTCTTGCTGCTTTATGTATGTTATTGCTTTGATTCCAACCCTATGAGGTAGCTGTTATTATCTCCTTCTTACAGATAAAGAATACAAGGTGAAGAGTTTATTAAAAATTTGCTCAAAGGACACTGAACTTGTAATGTGCACAGCCTAGCTTCAAACCTAGGACTCTTATACTAAACCCCTTGACATTTCCCCAGTCTCTTAATATCTTTAAGGTTAATTGTATTGTGTTATTTTGGAACATTTGTCTAAAAATGAATTTTGTGCAAAACTTCCATCGATATCTGCAATTGCTGTACTCCAGGTAAAGGATGAGAACAGTCTGGCACTTCAGTGCGATTTAGCATCTTCCCTCCCTTCCTCTGTCTCTCTTTTCCTTCCTTCCTTTTTTCATTCTTCTTTCTTTCTTCCCTTCCTCTCTCCCTCCCATCCTCCCTTCCTCTCTCTCTCCCTTTCTCCCTCCCTCTCTCCCTCCTTTTTTCCTTCCTTCCTTCCTTCTTTTAATTTCTTTTTCCTTTATTCTTCCTTTTACTCTCTTACCCTACTTCATCCTTTTACTCCAGGCTCTCATGCTACTGTGAGTTCAAGACCCAATAATGCCTACGTTTTTATGTGTTACTTGTGTAAAATTCCTAGCACAGTGGGGTTGATTGGAAATAAGTGAGATTGAAAGTGTGGAAGTAAAAGTGGCTTCTCTGCCATCTCAAAATGGATTGTAGACTTATTCACAATCAGGAATAATTAACTGATGGCATTTTCATGTGTTGGTGAGGAGAGAGAGACAGGTTACCTCCAAGAGGAAGCAGGGCAGCCAAGAAACTTTTAAACACAATAGCTGAGCTCTCTGGTGGGGCTGGTTGGTGCCCTACAATAGCAACAGTGGAATGTATGCCACACTTAGGATGAACCTTTAGGCCACTCCCATCTCTCAAGGCACGATGAAATTGATTCCCCCAGCAATGGCCCTGACAGGTGGGCTGAGAAGGTGTGAGATTACTCAGACTCTAGTCCTTCCTTCCATATTTAAAAGTGTGGTTGATGAAGCCCATAAACTTAAGTCACAAATAAAAAAACTACCCATCTTCTTCATGAACTCATTAATATTGTGCTTTTTATTAGTAATTTCACTGATTTTAAAGCATATAAATAGCAGTGCCTATCTTGGGCTAAAGTCCGTCTTTAAATTAAATATTTTAGATCCAATGATAAAGCTTATCTTTGCACTTGAGGAAGTAATGTCAGACAAATAAAAAATTGTTTACCAATTTGTACATGAATTTTTCGCCAAATGAGCCTTTACATTTGTTCGTGTTCTTAATATTTACACGTTTGCAGTGAGGTCAGCTCCCCAGGTTATCCCATTTCTGCATAAATATATCCATATGATTCACTTCACCTGGATTGTCTACATGCACAAATACATGGGTAGACAATCATATTACATATTCATAAAGTCTGGTCCACAACCCATCCTCCAGGTTATCCCATTTCTGAATAAATATATCCATATGATTCACCTCACCTGGATTGTCTATATGCACAAGTACAAGGGTAGATAGATTATCATATTACATATTCATAAAGTTTGGTCCACAATCCATCACTATATGATGAATGTCCACTGCTTGCCTTGGCTGAGCAGATTGGGGTCTGTCTACACATTAATTTATAGTGACAACTCACAAGAGTTCCCTTAGTGAATCTGTCATTTATTTGAACCATAAGGAAATCAGATTGTCAGACCTGATAGCTGAAATGTATAACAATATCTGTCAAAAATCTGAAGCTACTGCCCTCAAATAGACCTTGCAGAAACACAAAGGCATTTAATCCTAGTGGCCACTAGGCAAATGGAAGGGTTTTAGAGAATGTAGAGAGTGTCTCAGACAGAAGCTCTGTGCTTCATGGATGAGCTTAGAGATAGCACAGCCTGTGACACATAAATGCTACCAATATCCTAGGGAATAAAACTTTCTTTATCTTTTTAAATAGCTTTGTTGGGACATGATTCACATACCATAAAATTCATTCACTAAAAGTGTACAGTTCAGTGGTTTTTAGAGTACTCAAGCAGTTATGTATCCACAAACACTATCTAAATTTCTGTTCATTATGTTTTGTGTTTTGATTATTGTTTAGTGATTCTTGGATTTCCTGTATATGAAAACCCATCATACAAAAATAGAGAAAATTTTGCTGCTTCCTTTCAAATCTGAATGGCTTTCTTTTCTTTTCTTGTTTAATTTCCCTGGTTAAAATTTCCAGTGCAATATTAAATAGAAGTGGTGAGAGCAGGAATGCTAATCTTGTTCCCGCATTTACAGGAAAATAATTACCTTTTATCATTAAGGGTGATTTTATCTGTAGGTTTTTCATAGACACCCTTTATCAGGTTAAGAAATTTCACTTTGATTCCTAGTTTGCTAAATGCTTTTATCACAAAAGAGTGTTGGAATTTGTCAAATTCTTTTCTGCATTTATAAAGATGACTGTATGACTTTTATCCTTTACTCTATTGAAAGAGTATTACATTAGTTGATTTTTTAATGTTAAACTAACTGTATTCCTGGGATAAATGCTATTTGGTCATGATTTTGTCTTTTCTATATGCTTCTGGATTCGATCTGTTAGTATTACTTGAAGATTTCTCTATCTATTTTATATTATAAGAGTTACTGGGGCCAGGCGAGGTGGCTCACGCTTGTAATCACAGCACTTTGGGAGGCCGAGGCGGGCGGATCACCTGAGGTCGGGAGTTCGAGACCAGCCTGACCAACATGGAGAAACCCCGTCTCTATTAAAAATACAAAAATTAGCTGGGCATGGTGGCACATGCCTGTAATCTCAGCTACTCAGGAGGCTGAGGCAGGAGAATCACTTGGACCTGGGAAGCGGAGGTTGCGGTGAGCCGAGATCAAGACGTTGCACTCCAGCCTGGGCAATAAGAGAGAAACTCTGTCTCAAAAAAAAAGAGTTATTGGTTCATAGTTTTCTTGGGATGTCTTCATCGGCTTTTGGTATCATGTATACTGGCCTCATAGACTGTTTGGTAAGTGTCACTTCCTCCTATTTTTTGGAAGAATTTGTGAAGTGTTAGTGTTAGTTCTTTAAACATTTGACAGAATGATCTAGTAAAGCCACCTGCTCCTAGGCTTTTCTTTGTGGAAAATATTTCATTACTAATTTAATGTCTTTATTCATTATAGGTGTATCCAGATTATCTATTCCTTTTTAAGTTAGTTTCAGTAGTTTTTGTCTATGTATAGTTTTAAAAAATTATCCATTATATAATTTGTTGACACAAATACTATGACAGTTGTTCATAGTATTTTCTTATAATTTTTTTTCTGTAAGGTTTGTAGTAATGTTCCATCTTTCATTCATTATTTTAGTAATTGGAGTCTTCTATAACTTTTTACTGAACAGTCTAGAAAAAAATTTGTATTTTGCAACTTAAAAAAACTTGACTTTGTTGATTTTTTTCTATTGATTTTCTATTATAAAGTTCATTTATTTCCACTTTAATCTTTATTATTCCTTTTCTTCTACTTACTTTGAATTTAGTTTACTTTTTTTCTAGTTTCTTACATTGGGAGATTAGATTATAGATTTGTAATTTTTCAGTTTTTAACACAGGAGTCGAAAAGTGTAAATTTCCCTCTGAACACTGCTTTAGCTTCCTCTTGTACATTTGGGTATATTGTTGGGTTCTTTTTTTCAATTGTTGAAATGATTTTTAAATTTTCCTTATGAATATTTCTTTGACCATTGTTTTATTAGCAGCTCGTTGTTTAATTTCTAAATATCTGAATTTCCCGTGTCATTTTTTATTTTTATTTTTATTTTTTTTTTGAGATGGAGTCTTGCTCTGTCGCACAGGCTGGAGTGCAGTGGCGCGATCTCGGCTCACTGCAAGCTCCACCTCCTGGGGTCATTTATTTTTAATTTAATTTCACTGTGATTAGAGAACTTATTTTGTATGATGTCAACACTTCTCAATGTATTGAGGCTCGTTTTATGGCCTAGCATAAGGTCTATTCTGCAAAATAGTTTATGAGCCCCAGAGAAGAGTGTGTATTCTGCTGCTTTGATGGAGAGTCTATTAGATCTTGTTGGTTTATAGTGTTGGTAAAATTTTCTGTATCTTGTTTTGCTTCTTTTACATTGTTGTATACATTATTAAAAGGAGATATTAAAACTCCCCAACCATTATTATTGAATTGTCTATTTCTCCCTTCAATTCTGTCAGTTTTTGTTTCATGTATTTTTTATGTCTGCTCTCGGGTGCACATGGAAACTCTCCATCGGGTTTCATTTATTTATTTTTCCACAAAACACTCTGTGATCTAGTTATCAGAGAAGATCGTAGTTTAGAAGACAAAGTAAGAGGTAAAATGTTTCAGTGAAATAATACTCTGTGTTAGGCACTATGTTTAAATATTTGTACATACATTTTCTTAGTAAATGCTATAGAGAATCCTTGGCTATCAGTACTATTGCCTCATTTCAAAATGATTGATAATACGAAGTTTTTCAGCAGGTAGTAAGATCACAGAACCAGTAATTGGTAAATTAGGGATTTAAATTCTCTTTACTTGATTTTCAATATCTGAGTTTTTTCTAACATAACTGGCTGCCTCAGAGCTTGGAGAATAAAAACAAAAAAAATTGCTAGCATATTAACAAATACAGAGTATAATAAAAAAATTGTAATACTTTTTGTCTAACTAATTCATTGTTGATAAGCTCCCAGAGGCAGGAAATTATTTCACATCATCTTTTCCCACTAGCACCTCTGAACTTCAAGTCTGAGCAAATAAGAATTTGCCAATTATTCATAGCATTCAAAGCACAGTATTCTTATTAACTTCATATAATTCTCATAAAACAATACAAGGACACAGTGGCCTGGTAAAAACAAGAGCTTTTGGATCAACTAAACTTATGAGAATTTTAACTCCTGCTATTAGTTGTACAATCTTGGGCAAGTTCAATATCTACTTTAAGCTTCAAATTTCTTGTCACTGAAATGGAGACAATTATAACTAAATCTTTGCAGGGGGAATTAATGTAAATCTTCTATAATACAATGATAATAATTACAGAAGTTAGAAATGGTATAAATTACTACAGAACCTTTTAAAAATGATTAGTTGAAATTGTTCAAAGCTCTTGCTTTACCTGATTGAAACGTATTGATAGAGTTCGGTAAATTAGCTTTCATGTACTTATCAGTTAATCCATTTATTTTTGCAAGTGCACATTGATTTATTCAAGAACTGTTGAGCAAAATCGTAGAGGTGGTATAGTTTGCTTTTGTTTCTTAGCTAATTTTCCCTTTTTAAATTATCCATTTAATTAATTTCTGCACGTTTTATTTCCTTTCTACTTTGGCTTTTCCTTTCTTTTTCTACTTTCTTAAGATGCAATATGAGATACTGATTTCATATGTTCCTTCTTTTCTTTAAATGTTTTTATTTTTAATCTTTGTGGTTACATAGTAGGTGTATATATTTATCGGTTACAGGAGACATTTTGATACAGGGGGAGATGGTATAGTTTGTGTTTGAAGTAAATTCATTAGATATTTATGGAAATAAAATAATATTTCATGTGGGAGATCACGTTAGAAAGAGTATGGAACTTGAAGTGGCCTTCAATGTTACAAAACCTGCAAGAAAGTCTTTAGAAGTTTGAGAATAAAATGTGAGGGACATTATCTGAAATAAGGACAAATAATTGGCAAGACTGGACCCTAAAAGATATTATCTTCTGCACTTTATATTCAGGCATATAGGGATCTACTGGGAACATGTACAAAAGATAGTGACCAGGTTAGGCTTGTATTTTAGAACAGGAGTTCCCAGTTAAGAAATGGGCCTCACAGCAGGAGGGGAGCAGTAGGTCAGTGAAGCTTCATCTGCATTTACAGCTGCTCCCCATCACTCGCAGTAGCGCCTAAGCTCCAGTAGCGCCTGAGCTCCACCTCCTGTCAGATCAGTGGCAGCATTAGATTCTCATAGAAGTATGAACCCTATTGTGAAATGTGAATGCCAGCGGTCTAGGTTGCATGCTCCTTATGAGATTATGAGAATCTAATCCCTGATGATCTCAGGTGGAGCCAAGGCAGTGAAGTTAGTGCTGGGGAGTGGCTGCAAATACAGATTAACATTAGCAGAAAGGTTTGACTGCTCAGAGACCATACTAAATCAATTGTTTGCAGACCCATATTGAAATCCTATCAATGAGTGGCAAATAACAATTAAGCTGCATCTGGTGGCAGGCTTTATAGCGGTAAGTGAGTTGATGTACTTCAATTGTACAGCTGCATCTGATGGAAGGCTTTAAGTCAGAATTCGACACTTATTTTAGTCCATGCATGGCCCACCCATTATTTTTTTTACCACTTTCATCCATACCTCTTTCCTGCACTGAGCACTTGTCTCAGTCACAGTTTTGGTAAGCCCACCAGCTAACCCTAACCAAAATGAGTTAAAAAAAAAAGTCACTGGAGAGCTTCTTTGAAAAGGGGAAAAGACCCAATGATGAGACAGCAGAAGACTCTAAGACTGCCAACAAAAGAAAAGCTGCATGATATGGTTAGACTTTGTGTCCCCACCCAAATCTCATCTTGAATTGTAATCCCTGTAATCCCCACAGGCCAAAGGATAGACCAGGTGGAGGTAATTGAATCGGGGGGGGCAGTTTCCCCTTTGCTGTTCTTGTATTAGTGAGTGAGTTCTCATGAGATCTGATGGTCTTATAAGAGGCTCCTCCCCCTCTTCACTGGGCATTTCTCCTTTCTGCTGCCCTGTGAAGAAGGTGCCTTGCTTCCCCTTTGCCTTCTACCATGATTGTAAGTTTCCTGAGACCTCCCCAGCCATGTGGAACTATGAGTCAATTAAACCTCTTTTCTTTATAAATTACCCAGTTTTTGGAAGTTCTTTGTAGCTGTATGAAAATGGACTAATATGCTGCATTTGGAAGAAAATACCAAGAGTCTACTTAAATTATGGGTTCATGGCGACTGGTTATTTACATTCTCCAGTCCTGCTTTGTATAATATGTGGTGACTGGCTAGGCAGCAAAGCCATGAAACCTTCAAACCTGCTTCACAACATGAAGACCAAGCACCCTCATTAAAAGACAAGCCTTTAGCGTTTAAAAACCAAAAACCATGAATATGAAGAACAGAATCAATTATTGAAGACCATCATTTCATCAAATGTATCTGCACTGAATGCCTCATCTTAGTGGCTAACTTCATTGCTAAAGCTAAGAAGCCCTTTACTATTGGTGAAGAGTTGATCCTGTCTGCTACTGAAGATATTTGTCATAAACTTTCAGGAGTGGCTGCAGTTCAGAAGGTGGCATGTGTTCCTCTTTACTAGCACCATAACTAGATGAATTGATGAAATAGCAAAGGATGTTGAGGCACAATTGTTAGAGGATTAATGAGTCATTGTGGCACATCATCCAGGTTGACAAGCCTGCTAATGTTGACAACAAAGCAACAACGCTTGCTTTTGTGTCATATATCTTTCAGGAGGATGCATGAGGATATGTTATGTGCACTTTTGTTGCCAACCAATATCACAGCTGAAGAACTATTCAAGTCTTTGAGTGATTATATATCAGGAAAACTGAATTGGTCATTCTGTGCTGGTAAATGCACGGACAGAGCGGCTGTGATGATTGAATGGCTTTCTGGTTTCACTACTCGCGTCAAAGAGTTCGCTTCTGAATGTGAGTTTATGCATGTGTTATCCACAGAGAAATGCTGGCTAGCTGAAAAATGTCACTTGAACTTAACATTTTGCAGGATGTGATTAAAAAAATTATCAACCACTTTAAAGTGCATGCCCTTAACTCACATCTGTTTGCGCAGCTCTGTGAGGAGATGGTCGCAGAGCACATACATCTTCTCTTATATACAGAAGTGAAATGGCTTTCTAAAGGTATATCACTGGCCAGGGATTTTGAGTCACAAGAACTCCAGAGATTTCTCTTAGAAAACCTGTCATCACTGGCAGCACATTTCAGTGACACAGAATGGGTCACAAAACTTCCTGACTTGTGTGACATATTCAACTTGCTCAATAAACTCAATCTGTCCCTGCAAGGAAAAATGACAACTGTGTTCAAATCGGCAGATACAGAGGCTGCATTAAAAACCAAACTGGAAGTATGAGGGCGACGAGAGAACATTGGGATCTTTGACATGTTTCAAACATTAGAAGAGATTTTGAAAGAGACTGAGCCAGGGCCTTCTTTCTCCCAACTGGTGCGTGATCACCTATCTCAGCTTTCAACAGAGTTTGAGCATTACTTCCCAATCACAAAAGATTCCTGAATTGGGAAGGAATGGATCCCACAACCCATTTGTGAATAAGCCAGGTGAATTGACTTTGTCCATGATAGAAGAGGATAAACTGCTAGAGATCGCAAATGACAGTGGCCTTAAACATATGTTAGAGACAACTTCAAATCTCCATACATTCTGGATTAAAGTTAAGGTGGAACATCCTGAGATTGCTACAAAAGCACTGAAAAGCCTGCTACATTTCCAACATCCTATGTTTGTGAAGCAGAGTTTTCTGCAGCGACAGCAACCAAAATGAGATTATGTAGTAGGCTAAACATAAGCAACACACTTTGAGTGTCCCTGTCTCCCATCATGGAAAAATTCTCTTCCATGAAACCGGTCCCTGGTGCCACAAAAGTGTTGGGGACTGCTGTTTCAGAAGATCAACCAGAACTATATACTTAATTAGTTAATACATAGCCATCTCATACTTATAAAACTCAAGATAATGAGTGAATTTTTCGCGGGAGAAAGGCTAAGGAGGAATCACGATGGCAATCAGAACTTGTACTAGGGAAGCCACTGCTGGGTGAGACTCCAAAAAATGCTTACCTAAAGGATAAGCACGCAACCTAGAAACAACCAATGTATAATGAAAACCAAAAATATGAAAGCGAGCCCACAAACTCAGTACATGAAAAAACTTACCCTTGAAGAAAAAAATGTAGTAGATAAATAGCTACATTACAATGAAACTTGGCATCAGAGAGAATGAGAAACCATAACCCTGAAATACATATAGAGGTTAAAACAAATAAGAGTGAATTATGATAAAGACCCAATTGGGGACTTTGAAAATGAAAACACAATTGTAGAAAATAATATATATGTATATTTTTTAAATAAAATAATAAAATAAAGGAGCTTAATTGCATAACGGTAACTAACGAAGAGCAAATTAGTGAACTGGAATACTGAGTTGCATCATTCTTCTAAGGTATGACATAAAGAAATAAAGAGATGAAAATAATGACCAATTGTCATTTAAAAATTGAATTACACTTTTCATATTGTAAACGTGCTTTTTTTCTATTTTCATATGGTTGTATTTATTACTTTTTTACTTTTTAATGGAATATGAGCCACAGTTAGGAAAGTTTTCCCCACTCCTATGCTATACAACAATTATTTGGTGTTTTTTAAAGTATTTGCATGGTTTTAATTTTTATATTTAATCTCTGATCCATGCATGATTTAATTCTGTATGATGTGAGAAACATATGGTTATCCAATTTTTTTCAACATTATTTATTGTTTTCTTTCTTTTTTTTTTTTGATACAGACTCTTGCTTTGTTATCTAGGCTTGAATGCAGTGGCTCCATCTTGGCTCACTGCAACCTCTGCCTCCTGGGCTCAAGTGATCCTCCCACCTCAGCTTCTCAAGTAGCTGGGACTGCAGGCATGTGCCACCACACATGGCTAACTTTTGTATTTTTTTGTAGAGTTGGGGTCTCGCTATGTTGCCCAGGCTGGTCCCAAATTCCTGATCTCAATCGAACCGCTTGCCTTGGCCTCCCAAAGTACTGGGATTTCAGGTGTGAGCCACCATGCCTGGCCTCCAACATTATTAAAACCTCAATCTTTCCACACTGATTTGAGATGGTGATTTTGTTAGTAGTAAATTTAAAAGGAGAAACTAAAATGTAGTAAAATAACAAAGACATACAATTTAGGAAGAAATGCCAAATTGAGAGAGCAGACTTCTCAACAGCAACAGGAGATACAAGAAAATGGATAAATAATACTTTTGAACTGCTGAGAGAAATAAATTTTCAACTTAAAAAATTTTACCCAGCTAATTAAATACTCAAGAGTAAGGGATAAATACACACATAGTTGGACAAATAAAAACACTCACAAATGAAGCACATCATAAAAAAACAAATAAAACTAACAAAGAAGCCCAAAAATTCAGAGAAATGTTGAAAGAAAAAATCAAAATCATGTGAATTAAAAAGCATTGTGTGGGTGTAGAACAATAATGATAATTAATATAAAAATAAAAAGAAGGTAGAATTAATACACTAAAATAAAAATAACTTGTATGAGAGATGCATACAACTAAGTTCCATATACTATGAGAGATGTGTACAACTAAGTTCCATATACTATTAGGGAAAAAGTTAAATGATTAATTAATTTTAGGCTTTTAAAAGTTGATATGTTGAAACTTTAAAAATACCGAATTTTAAAGAACTAAATAATGGAAAGAACTAAGTAATGGAAATATGCCAATAAATGAATAATTTGCAAATCAATGGTTGCAAAAAATAAACAAAAATATCACTCCAAAACAGTACAAAAATGAGGAAAAATGAAAGCAAAAGAAGTAGTATAAATAGGAAGTAGAAGGCAGGAGTTAATAATTATAATTAAAATGATAAAGGAATAAATAATAAAATGAATAATTTTCTTGAACATATTGTTACCAGTGGTGACTGAAGAAGAGGTAGACAATAGGAATTGACCAGCAAACATTTAACACATTGAAACAATGATATATCTCTCACCCAGGAAATGAGTTCTATATTATTTACAAGGTAATGTTATTAACTCTTCAAAAAATAAATAATCTCTAGTGTATATACTTTCCCCCCAAGAATAGGTGTGCTTTATATAAGTTTACTATCAACATTTGACAAGGCAATAAAGCAAAAGGAAAATTATAGGTGAATCATTCTGAAGAACATAAATACAAAAAGAATACGTGTTGACAGAAAGACCAAATGTAATACAGGAATGTAAAGATTATCCAGTTCCAGAATATCTGTCAAAAAGAAAAAGAAAGAGCACATGCTTATCTCGACAGATATGGAAAAATTATTTTATAAATATTTATGTTTAAACAATGGCTCTGAAAATATAAGGATATTTCTGTTATCAGATGAAAAGTGTCCAACAAAATGCACAGAAAAAAGTACTTAGTGATAAAATTTTAAAAGCATTTCCGTTAACATTGTGGGAATATTTGCCAACATTTGTTGCAACTATTCAACACTGTTTGAGAGGTTATAAACACTTACTGTGCAGAAGAAATAAGATTAACAATTAAAGAGAAAGAGAAAAAATTGTTGTTACTTGCCAAATTTTCTATACCAGAAAATTCACAATGCTACAGACAAAATGCTACACTTAAATAAGAACCTTCAGCTAGTTTTCTAAATAAAAGATTAATAACAAAAGTTTATTACCATTTTTTGCATTTGTAATAACTAATGTAAAATGCTACTCAATACCACAAAGGCATGAACAATCCTCTCATTAATTAATAAACAATAAAATTTCAACTTGGAAAAATGACTTTCTAAAATTTATACACAAAAATGGGGGGGAAAACAGGCTTATTCTAAGACAATTTTCAAAATGGAGAATAATACTGGAAGACTTGTTACAATAGGATAATGATACTTATCTTAAAGGGATAGTACCTAAAACAGTGTGTTTTTGGCACAAGGCTGAACAAATAAACCAAAGAAACAGAACAAAGACTCAAGAAACCAACCCACACCTGCACAGGAATTTGATTTGTAACAGAGTTTAGTTGCGGAAATTAAAAAAATATTGGGGAAGCACAGGTAATTCAATAAATACAAGTTTTGGAACATCAGCATTATCAAAGTCTACTGTAAATTGTCCCTTCTTTGAATCTTTAAAATAAGTCATTCTGTATCTCACAAATTAATAGTTGGTTGTGTTTTTCACCCATGTCTCTATCATCATTCTAGGAGTTTATTTTCTAATAAACTGGGATGTGTATAGTAAATATATGTTCAAGTGGATACGGCATCTGAAAGGGCTTTAAAGTCAGAATATGTGCTCAATTTTTGGTCCTGTTTCTCACAATTTCCCCGGGCCATGAGTTTCTTATTTCAAAAATGGGAACAGAAATATTTGCCTTCTGTATCGATAGATGTGAAGTAAAAATGATCAAATGAATGTGAAAATATTCTATAAATATGAAACTCTACATGTGTTAATTCTTTGTTGCTATATTATTTTCAAAGCCTAGGATATAATAGATGCGAAGCATGATGCAGATAGCCAACAGGACTGGCTTCATGGGCATTTGACCTGTGTGGTCAACCGAGTGCGCATGTGAGCAGAGGAGTTACAAGCAATATGCACATCCCCTGTTCCTTGCCAGCCATTTCTATGTAGTGTTCACAGTGTCTCATGGATATAGTACTCCAGGGACCCAGGATGCATGGGAGACTCAGAGAACTACGAGGGAGATTTGTTATGTATAAGACAGTGATAAAGATGGAAAGGGTAAGATTTCACATTCCACAGTTCCTTTTTCTTTCAGTCCTTTCTTACTCATCTGAAGGTAGAGAGTGTTGGTAGAATGTGTGCGTATCACAAAGTGAAATATAAACTGTTGAGTTGCTTTTGCACAGCATTTCCACTGTTCTAGTAAGAACAAAATACATATGTATGTACAAGCTGTGAAATACAAACTGTAACTTTGGTGATTCTACATATGAGTTAAGCGCTCCTATATTTGCATTTTAAACTGGCATTGCATAAAATAAGGATAAAGGTAAAATTCACTCTAAGAATTTATTTTTTGAAATTTTTTTAACCTAGAATGCCATTAAATACCAAATATAAAGTCCGGTGGCAAGTCAAGAGACTGTGGAAGAAAGGAAAATACTTTACATTTAAATGTCTTTAAAGGACTTCTTTCCTTCATTTTCAAAAGAGACTGCAATTTCATTTTGCACTGGGTCCCACAAATTATATGAGCAATGCAATGACTGATCAAATTGCTCTGTGAAACACACACTGGCCGAAGTACGCATATATAGTCCCTCCAACCACTAATATCAAATTAAACAAGTAAAATGAAAGACTGATCCCTTGTTTTGAAAACCACAGACTTTCCTAATAAGAGTAAGATTCTAAAACCTTCCTAGTAATGGCTTCAACTCACCTTAATAATTTAAATTAAATACTAGTCAACATTTGCAGTGGCATTGCTTAAAGAACTAAAATAACCAATTTGCTTCTCTTAGGCCCAATTTTAAAAATGCTCCAAGGAGTTTTTGGAGCATGGGCCAATGGAAGCTTCCTCAAGACCAGAGCTTCCATCCTATTTTTTCTTTTCTTTTTTATTTATTTATTTTTGAGACAGAGTCTTGTTCTGTCGCCCAGGCTGGAGTACAGTAGCATGACCTCAGCTCACCACAACCTCCGCTTCCTGGATTCAAGCAATTCTCCTGCCTCAGCCTCCTGAGTAGCTGGGATTACAGGTGTGTGCCACTATGCCCAGCTACTTTTTGTATTTTTTTTTTCTTTTAGCAGAGATGGGTTTTTGCCATGTTGGCCAGGCTGGTATTGAACTCCTGATGCCAGGTGATCCGCCTGCTCCGGCCTCCCAAAGTGCTGTGATTGCAGGCATGAGCCACTGCACCCAGCCTTCCTCCCCATTTTCTAAGCAATTTGCACACAAGAAACAAGGGAGCAGAGATTTATTCATAAGCTTCATCTCGACTTTAGGCCTGTGTGCTAAGAAGACAATTAGACAATTTCTGAGCTACATCCTCAGAAACAGGAGAAAAGGACAGGAAATCTATCAGGAAGATATTAAGCAAGAAATTCCAGAACAATGGTGATAAGAATTTGGTAGGGATTCTTGAATCTCTGCATATTCCATCAGTTTATTTTATTTTTAAATTATTTTTAGTTTTTTTTTTTTTTTTTTTTTTTTGTAGAAATGGTTGAGGGGTGGGGGGTCTCGCTTTGTTGCCCAGGTTGGTCTTGCACTCCTGGGCTCAAGCAATCCTCCCCCATCAGCCTCCCAAAGTGCTAGGATTACAGGTGCATTTCCTTCCTTCCTTCCTTTCTCTTTCTTTTATTATTATTTTTTAAAATATTTTGTTTATTCTCTCTTCAATCATTACCAGTCAAGTCACCACAATGAGAGTTAAGGGTGTGCTTGCCATAAGGAATAATAACTCCCAGACTTGGGAGGGGAGAAACTTCACCAGAGAGTGGGCATGGCAGCTGCGGTAGATGAGAGAGGCAGTGTGGGTCAGGCCATCCCTGAACTGAAGGCAATGAGTCTACTCCTCTGGGGCCAGAGACTGGTCTTTCTAGCCCTGCAATCCATGTCCGCAAGTCTCATTGCCTGGCATGGAGAAGATGGGAAGGAAATGTGAGTGAATACTCCTGCAGCTTCCCCTGCACCAATCCTCTACATGATTCTGACTCTGCTCCTAACAAGGATAAGCAGATGGAGGCTGGGAACACACTTCCTTAGGAGTTTAATTTATTCCTAATAACCATGCTGCATCGTTCTTGAACAAAAATCAATTTCCTTTCTGTTTATGTCAAAACTCTCATACTCTCCTCAGTGTCTTAAAATCACTGGTGCAGAAATTTCACATCAAGATCTCATTTTGTGTCAAGAAACCCAATTGCATAAAAGCACTTCTGCTCTTGCAACATGAATTTTTATGAATTTTCTGGGATGTAAAATTCTTCACATTAAAGATCTATCATAACTAAGAGCAAAGTTTAGGCTAATGACTTAGACACTCTTATTAGGCTAAAAAGATGTAAGTATTTAAGTGAAAATAAGTAGATTTTATATGTATTTTTCAAAATGTAAATCTTATTTCAAAACCTGTTGTGACTAAAGTAGACATAACTTTGGTTGAAAAATTAGCCTATTATTGGTTTGATAGAAATAATAAAAATAACACTGAAGTAGAAGTAAATAGTAATATAACTCATTTAAACCCTAAGAAATTGGGATAGAAAGATCTACTCTGAGTTTTATCTGAGGGATCATTAACCAGTTCATTGCAGTAGGAGAGAGAAAAGAGGGAGGATCTGGGGTTGGTACCTAAAATTGCCCCCGACCATTGGTGCTAGAGGGATGCCAGTCCAGTACAGCTTGGGGCAGTAACTGCTTACCTCATCTGGATGGAATATGTCTCCAGATGATGCTGGTGATTGTCAAGGGAAGTAGACATATTCTGAGGTCACATGCAGAAATGAGAGAACCATTTCTCTAGCAGTGAAATTGGGGTATGTGACAAGGTCATACCTTGATCTGTCTGTAGACAGCAGCACTCCAGGCTCTGAGTTAGCATTTTTAACTCTAGAGATTAAATCCCTGGCTTGGGAACAGGTTTGCAAGAAAAGCACAGGCTGCAGTATAAACTAGACTAAAATGAGGCAGGTCATCCAGAAAAACATGTGGGTCCAATAAAACAAGATTGTTGCTGCTCATCAGACCTGGCACAAAGTGCGTCTTGAATAAGGTCACAGCCCACTCACCAAGTGTGTAACCAAAGTCAAGGACAGAGTAGACAGTATACATTTGGTGTTAGGTTGTATATTTATTTAATTGTGAGGCTGACATCGATAAGTTATTTGGTTTGAAAATGGTTTGGAGGCTGGAAAAAGCTTGAGAAGGAGAGCCTCATGACTAGGAGCCAAGTGGAACCTGCCCTGGGCAGGAACCTGCTGCAATAGTCCTGGTTTAGAGATAGTTATGAGGCTTTGACTTTGTGAGTAACATAATACTAAACTCATCAGCCCAACTGTATTATTCAGGTATATTTTGTCATGAGGAAGAAAATATCTCTCAAGATAAGAGGGCCCTGGATGACTGGTTGTTTCAGTTCGGTTAATTCCACCCCCTAATGGAAAGGAGTGGATTCTGGCTTGAGGAACATGTGTGCAAACAAAGGTGGGTGTCTCATTTGAGGTATCTATGAATGGTTTTAGTTACTCTCCAATCTTAAAATGCCAGGCTGTATTAGTGACAGTTCTTTAGAGGGACAGAACTAATGGAATACATACATACCAGTCAAGTCACCACATATAAAGGAAAGTTTTTTGAGTATTAACTCACAGGATCATAAGGTCCCACAATACGCCACCTGCAGGCTGAGATCATAAGGTCCCACAATACGCCACCTGCAGGCTGAGGAGTAAGGACAGCCAGTCTGAATTCCAAAACTGAAGAATTTGGAGACTTTTAGTTTACCTATAGGCTGCTTGTGTTAACCAGCTCCATTAGACCCTCTACCTTGTCACAAGGACAGAGGGCTTTCTGTATCCTGGATTCTTGCCTTGGTGTACTGGAAGAATTGGATCACACGTGGGCTTGGAGAGTGAGTGCAAAGGCAGGCAGAAAGTGGCTATCTAGGTTTTTAATAATAGAAACAGGGAGGCCCAGGAAAGAGAGAGGAGATACAGGTATTCCCGGGGTGCACCTATTAACTGCTAAAGATACGGCAAGAACAGTTATCTCTTTTCTAAAAGTTTATCTGCTCCCATACAAGGTTTAATTTCTATCACCAGGGTGAAACGGCTCAGAGTACAATGTTGTTAGTATATTTTACTTCTTGTCTCTCTAATCTTTGGCACTAAATTCTTTCCTTGTATAACACACGTGTTTAACCCATGCATACTTAATCTTATAAAACTTGTTTTTCCTCTCACGCCTAGAAACCACCAAACTCCAAATGGTCAGGCAACCAGAGCCTTGGCTGATGGCTCCCCTTTGCTAGGAACCCTTAGAGAGACCTCTGGGAGGAATCTGACTGCTGTTTTTCCCCCCAAAACAATGCCCCCTGTCAGCAGAAAGCAGCTAATACTGGTCATCTTCCATATTCTGATGGCAGTTAGATGTACCTCTTCAGAGGGGCAGAATGATATGGGAGTGCTGGGAAGGGAAGAGCATGTCCCATTAAATGATACAGAAGAGGAGGAAGGGAGGTGCTGGGTAGAGGAGGGCGTGGTCCCTGGTTATGGTTCCCTCCCCACTGACGTAGATGAGGACAGGTGCTCCTGCTTTCTCGCCCAAATGTTGCATTTTCCAAGACCACCCGGGCCCACCATGCCCCCCATCCTGGGCCTATAAAAACCTGAGACCCTAGTGGGCAGACAAACAGGCAGCCAGACTTTGAGAGGAGTATATCAGTGGAAGAAGACATAAGTGGCTGGTCGTCCAGAGGATGTTGAGAGGAGCATGCTGGAAAAAGAGCACACTGATAGGCACTGGGACCCCAGCAGGCCACTGACTGGCAGGATGAGGTGGAGTTTGACCGGGCCAGTTGGAGGGGAGCCAGGAATGCTGAGTAGCCCAACTTCATGGGAAAACCATCTCCTTTCTGACTCCCCCATCGGCTGAGAGCTACTTCCACTCAATAAAACTTTGCACTCATTCTCCAAGCCCATGTGTGGTCCAATTCTTCCAGTACACCAAGGTAAGAATCCATGATACACTAAGCACTCTGTCCTTGTGACAAGGTAGAGGGTCTAATGGAGCTGGTTAACACTAGAAGCCTATAGGTAAACTAAAAGAGCACGCTGTTGCACAGGCCTATTGGGGCTTCAGGAGCTGTAAACATTCACCCTTAGACACTGCCATGGGGTTGGAGCCCCACAGCCTGCCTGTCTGTATGCTCCCCTAGATGTTTGAGCATTGGGGCACCAAAGAAGCAAGTCATACCCCCATCACATGCTCTGTGAAGGGGACAAGGAAACCCTTCCTATTTCAATACATTCAGATGCCACCAAAGCTCAGTAACAAGCCAAGAGCTGTCTCTCAAAAGAAGAACGGTTATCTGCAGAAGATGGCAGGGACTTGTTCCAAAATCCTACAGGCCTCTGCTATGATTCACCTACGGGGGCCTGCCAAAGGCCCCAAACAGCATCACTATCTGCCACTGAATTATAAAAACAGAGAATCACAGCCCCTCAATCAATTTCCAGACTTAAGCAAGTTAAAAGCCCAGAACCCTTTGAATGAAGGGAATACCAGGTCCCCTTGAGGAAGGACCCCACTACATTACTGACAATTTATGCAGTGAATCTTTAAGCACCATTAAATCTGCTGGGTCTTATAGTCCAAGTGGCAGAGCAGCTTGCACAGCAGCCTGGACCTATTGCAGAGCCTTATCCTGTTCTGGTCCCCACTCAAAACTGGCAGCCTTTTGGGTCACTCAATAAATGGGCTGGAGTAATATATTCAAATAAGGAATGTGTTGCCTCCAAAATCCAAATATGCTCGCTGGGTGTTGTACCTCTTTCTTGGTTATAGGAGGGGCCAGATGCAGAAACTTATCCTTTATCTTAGAAGGACTACCTCAATAGTCCCCACACCACCCAACCCATAGAAATTTTACTGAAGGAGAAGGTCCCTGAATTTTAGTTATATTTATTTCCCATCCTCTTGCACACAAATATCTTACCAAGAAGTCCAGTGTGTTTGCTACTTCTTGCTCACTGGACCTAATCAGCATAATGTCATCAATGTAATCGACCAGTGTGATATCTTGCAGAAGCAAAAAGCGATCAAGGTCTCTCCTAATAAGATTATAACACAAAGCCACAAAGTTGATATACCCCTGAGGTTAGAAAGTAAAGGTATATTGCTGGCCTTGACAGCTGAAGGCAAATTGCTTCTGGTGGGCCTTATGGACAGGAATGGAGAAAAAGGCATTTACCAAGTCAATAGCTACATACCCGGTACTAGATATGTTAATTTGCCAAGCAATGAAACCACATTTAGTATAGCAGCCGCAACTGAAGTCACCACTTGGTTAACCTTACGATAATCCACTGTTGTTTTCCAAGATCCATCTGTCTTCTGCAGAGGCCAAATGGGAAAGTTCAATGGGGATGTGGTGGGAATCACCACCCCTGCATCTTTCAAGTCCTTGATGGTGGCACTAATCTCCTCAATCCCTGCAGGGGATTTACTATTTTTCTAGGTAGAGGCAGTTCTAATGGCTTCCATTTGGCCTCTCCCACCATAATTGCCCTCACCCTACCAGTCAGAGGGCCAATGTGGTGGTTCTGCCAGTTGCTAAATATGTCTCTGCCAATTATGCATTCTGGCACTGGGAAAATGACCACAGGATAAGTCTGGGGACCCACTGTAAGTTGGACCTGAGCTAAAACTCCATTAATTACCTGACCTCCATAAGCTCCTACTTTAACTGGAGGACCACAATGATGTTTTGGGTCCCCTGGAATCAGCATCAGCTCAG